>NC_000007.14:93415869-93718900 GCF_000001405.40 Homo sapiens
AACACACAATGCAGAAAGAACAGTCTCTTTAACAAATAGTGATGGAAAAACTTGATATGCACACGCAGAGGATTGAAATTATACCCTAATTTCACTTCTTTTGGATAAATACTGAGAAGTGTGTTTACTGGATCATATGGTAGTTCTATTTTTAATTTTTTGAGAAACCTTCATACGGTCATAGAGACTATACTATTTTGCATTCCCACCAACAGTATACAAGGACTGCAATTTCTTCATGTTTTTGCCCATACTTATCTTTTTTTTTTTTGATAATAGTCATCCTAAGAGATGTGAGGTGACATCTAATTATGGTTTTGATTTGCATTTACCTGATGATTAGTGATGGACATTTTTTCATATACCTGTGTTGCCCATTTGTATGCCTTCTTTGGAGAAATGTCTATTGAAGTTTTTAGCCCATTTTTAAACTGGATTAGTTTTTTTTTTTGTTATTGAGTTGTAGGAGTTCCTTATATATTTTGGGTATTTATGCCTTCTCAGATATATAGTTTACAAATATTTTCTTCCATTTCATAAGTTGCCTTTTGCTCTGTTGATTATTTCCTTTGCTGTGCAGAAACTTTTTAGACTGATGTAATTACATTTGTCTGTTTTTTCTTTTGTTGCTGTGCTATTGGTGTCATATTTATAATCCTTGTCAATACCAATGTCATGAAGCTTTTCTCCAACATTTTCTTCTATTAGTTTTACAGTATCAGTTCTTACGTTTAAGTCTTTAATCCATTTTGAGTTGATTTTTGTTTATGGTGTAAGCTAAGGGTCCAATTTCAGTCTTTTGTAGGTGGATACTCAGTGTTCCCAACACCATTTGTTGAAGAGGCTATCCTTTCCACATTGTGTTTTCTTCACATCCTTGTTGAAATTCAATTGGTCATATATGCATGGATTTATTTCTGGGCTCCCTATTCTGTTTCATTTGTCTATCTACTTGTCTTTATGCCAGTACTATTCTGGTTTAATTATTTTAGTTTTGTAATACATTTCAAAATCAGAAGGTGTGATGCCTCCAGCTTTGTTCTTTTTTCTCAAGGTTAATTTGGCTTTTCAGAGTCTTTTGTGGTTCCACAGGAATTTCAGAATTGCTTTTTCTATTTCTGCTAGAAAATTCCATTGAGATTTTGGTAGCAATTGCATTGAATCTGTCTATAACTTTGGGTAGTATAGAAATTTTAACAATATTAAATCTTCCAATTCATGAACACAGAATTTCTTTCCATTTTTGTGTGTATTTTAAAATATATTTTATCAATATTTTCTCATTCTTAGTGTTAAAATATTTCCCCTCTTTAGTTAAGGTTATTTCTAAGATTTTCTTTTTGGTGTTATGTTATTTTAAACCAAATTATATTCCTAATTTCCTTGTCAGTGAGTTTTCTATGTATAAGATTATGTCCTCTGCAAACTGGGACAATTTACATCTTAATTTAGATTTTTTTAAAGATTTTTTCTTCTTTTTATTGTGGGCATTTAGTGTTATAAACTTCTCTTTTATTACTGCTTTTGCAGCATCACATAAGTTTTCGTATGCGGTGTTTTCATTTTTGTCTCAACATATTTTCAAATTGCTCTTTTGATATTTTTCTTTGACCTAGTGTTTGACATTACTGTTAAACAATCTTATGTTGGAAGCAAGAAATGTTTCTAAATAACTCTTACTTTTTAAAGAATATTAAGAATTATAGAATGGTGCCTCAGTGTCAGGTTAGTTTTAACTAATATGGTTAATTTTGTTAGTTTTGGTTTTGTTGGTTTTCTCTCTTGCTCTTTCTCTCTCTCATTCCTTATTTCACTGATTTCTATTTGAAACACTTGTCCCTTTGTGATATGTGTTTGATGAGTTATTTTAGAACATTCGATTCTGCTATAGAACGTGGAAAGTGAAAAAGAAGTATGAATAACAAGTAGTTAGTAAACTGTGAGATATATTAGACATAGAATGAGTTGAATACAGCAGATGTGTGTTTAACATAGACTTAAATCTTCTACCCCTGGTGACACCTATTCTACTTCTTGTGTCCTTTGCCCAAGAAGTGCAGATAAAACCCATAGTTGATAATAATTAGAAAGCTCAACAGTAGCCACAAGTACTTGTCCCTGCAACTCCTTGATAGAGTAAGTACCATATGTTGGCTCTAGTCACCTTTCATACCCTGTATCCCATTGCTCAGACCTCAACTCTGGTTTCTCACATCCACATCTTCAGCAGGGAATACGTGATTAGAGAGGACATGTGAACACTGTACCCAAGGATTCACGTACTGTGGCTATACCATCATGCTAATGCCCTATCCTAAGTGTGCTAACCTACCTCATCTCCTTCCCAAAGCTTCCCACTAAGTGTTTTCAATTGCTTAAGTAAACTGTGTGACTTGAGCATCTTAATTTAGTCTGTGAGCCTTTCTAGGATAGCTTGCTTGAAAATATACTTGGAGGTTATTTTTACATGAAGGTAATGTCTCATACGACATTACCCTTCTCGTGTTTTTGCTTTTACTCTGTTGCTCACTTTCTGATTTCTTCTTAAAGGTATCTAAAGTTTAAGCTTCCTTCTAGGAACTGCTCTAGGCATGTTCCATAAATTTAGAGATGTAATGGTTTCTTTATTGAAGTAGTATTAATACAGTTGGCCCTCCATAGTTGTGGATTCCACACCTGCAGATTGAACCAACTATGGATGAAAAATATGTTTAAAAGACAGTACAATTAACAATATGATTGAAAAAATACAAATGAAAAATATATTATAATAACTATTTATGTATTATTTATGCTGTATTAGGTATTATAAGTAATCTAGAGATAATTTAAAGTATATGAAAGGATGTATGTAGATTGTATGCAAATACAGCTCCATTTTATATAAGGAACTTTAGCATCCTTGGATTTTGGTATGAGGGAGGGGTTCTAGAACCAATCTCCTGGTGGACATCCAGGGACAACTGTAGGTAAAACTAATATGTTGCTGGTATAAGATCGGTACCATTCTCTAATTCTTACTATCCTATTAAAAGCAAGGATTATTTAGATATGTTTATTGCCTCCAACATCGGATTGCTTAGGCTGCAATTTTGCTATTAATTTCTATTTTTTTGCATTATGATCAGAGATCTTTGGCATGGTATTCATTCTTTTCTTTTTTGTTTTTTAATTTTATGTTTATTGTGGCACTATTCACAACAGCAAAGACTTGGAACCAACCCAAATGTCCAACAATGATAGACTGGTATTAATTCTTTAGAATTAATGGAGATTGTCTTTAGGATCTTAAACATGGCTTTTTAGTAAACATTCTCTGCATATTTAAAAGAATGCATGTTTCATGTTTGTTGAGTATAGTGTTTGGTATATTTTTAATTGCTTGAGATTGAATGTTGTATTTTTCAGGTATTTTACCATACTGCTAATATTTTATTTGTTTGATCTAGCATATGTGTTAAAGTCCTCAATTACAACTGATAAATCATCTGTAGGGTCTGAATGTTTGTGTTCTCTGAAAATTCATATGTTAAAACTTAATCCCCAATGTGACAGTATTAAGAGGTGGGGCCTTTCGGGGAGTGATTAAGTCATGAGTGTGCCTCCCTCATGAATGGAATTTGTGCTCTTTTTTTTTTAATTTTTTTATTATACTTTAAGGTTTAGGGTACATGTGCACATTGTGCAGGTTAGTTACATATGTATACATGTGCCATGCTGGTGCGCTGCACCCGAATTTGTGCTCTTATAAAAGAGGCCTGAGATCCCAGCTACTCAGGAGGCTGCAGCAGGAGAATCACTTGAACCCAGGAGGCGGAGGTTGCAGGAGCCAAGATCACACCACTGCACTCCAGCCTGGGAGACACAGCAAGACTTCATCTCAATAAATAAATAAACAAATAACTAGGCCTGACGAAGCTCCCTTACCTTCTTCCACCATGGGAAGACAAATAGAATGTACCTTCTTTGAGGAACAGGCCCTCACCAGACACCAAATCTGCTGGTGCCTTTGTCTTGGACATGCCAGCCTCTGGAACTGTGGGCAATCAACTTCTGTCTAAATTACCCAGTCTAAGGTTTGTTGTTACAGCAGCCTGAATGTATCAATATGCTACTCTTTATGATATTTTTTTGTCTTAAATTCTATTTAGGGCCAGCGCGGTGGCTCACTCCTGTAATTCCAGCACTTTGGGAGGCCGAGGAGGGTGGATCACCTGAGGTCGGGAGTTCGAGACCAGCCTGACCAACATGGAGAAACCCCATCTGTACTAAAAATACAAAAAAATTAGCCAGGTGTGGTGGTGCATGCATGTAATCCCAGCTACTCAGGAGGCTGAGGCAGGAGAATCGCTTGAACTGGGAGGTGGAGGTTGCCGTGAGCCAAAATCGCGCCAATGCACTCCAGCCTGGGCAATAAGAGTGAAACTCCATCTCAACAACAAAAAAATTCTATTTAGTCAGATATTAAGAGAGAACTTCCAATTTATTTTGGTTCATATTTCCCCAGCATAACTTTTCCCATTCATTTTTAATCTTTTGTTTTCCTTTTGTCTTACATATATCTCTTATTGCCTGTTGTGCTTTGTGTCTTATGTGCATCTCTTGTTGTCTGTGGGGTTTTGCTTTTTTTTTTCCCATTAAGAGAATCTCTGTTTCTAATTGGCGACTATGATCACCTTATTATAAATGTTATATGAAGACTTATTTCACACATCTTAAGACCCATACTCATTAACTTACCCATATTGCTTTTTAATTACCAAACCTCTGTCTTTCTCCTAAAAAAGAGAATCTTTATCCTGCTCTCAGATCATGATTTCTTCTTGCCCTAATCTTGTCAACATTAACAAAATTTTAGCTTGGGGCATTTATTTGGCCATTTTGGAGTTATTGCTAGTTGAGGTCTTTTGTCTTTAACCATACAGAGTGTTAAAACATATTTCTGTGAATATGTCCCCTTCTCCATTTTCTTTTGTGTCTTTCTGATACTCCTACTGTTGATATTGGTAATTCCATTTCTATATCTCTTGGTTTTTCTTTTCTGCTTTCTATGTCTTTATTCTTTCCTGTTTCCTCTGAGATTTCCAATCTAGTTTTTAACTCACTAATTAATTTTTAAGTGGTGTCTAAATTATCACGTGTTACTTATTTCAACTATTCTGTATAGTGTTACTTCAGGTATTGCATTTTTATAACCAGTAGTCCCACTGGCTTCCTTTTTTCTGTTGTTTCTTTTTAAATTAATTACTAATTATTGACATGCATGTGTCCTCTCTGCTTCTATAGTTTGTCCAAGGTTGGTAACCAGAGAGGGAACTAGCACCCTAACCAGTTTGCTATCTTGGCTGTCCCTCATGTTCCTCAGTGTCTCTTCTTTCTTGTCTCTCTGCCTTTTTTCATCATCTGGTGCATAGTTGAATGGGTGAATGATATTCATAATCTTCATTATCCTACCTATTCAGACCCCAGTTCTCGAAACTGATAAGTGGAAATCCTGCTAGCAACAGTATTAAGTGCAGCCCTGACTACTTATATGTAGCTTTTTTGCAGGCCTGAAATTAGGACTGGTGTGTCCATTGAGAAACCATGGAAAGTTTCCCAAAACATGTTTTGTCTCTTAAATATCTGCACAAAGACGACATTCAAAGTATAGAAGCTGCAAACTAGTGTTGTGTTTGAAAAACTCTCTGGCTAAAAATAAAAATCACCACTATGGAAAGAAACTCTTGAAACTACAGAAAAATAAATTTCATCTGAAGATCCCTTTTGGTTGAAGGAATCTATGGACATTCAATTAAGTTAATTTTGGACCAAAAAGATACATGTTGTGAATTATCTCTCTTCTCTTAACCTATGAGAACTTACTATGTAATATTTTTTAGAGCTAAAAAACGGGAACAGCCTTACCCGTGAGAGGCTGGCTGGTACAGTAGGACCACCAAGATGGCAATTTAAAAAGCAGAGCCTTTGGGTATCCTTGATTCAAATCCTAGCTCAGCTACTTACTAACTGTGTGATCGTGGTAGACAATTTATTCAATTTCTCTTCCATGTAATTTTCTCATCACTCAAATGGGCATAAAGAGAGGATTCATAATGTTATAAAGAGTAGGTGAGCTAATGTCTATTGGTCTATTATATTGAGTACGGTGTTTTAATGATTAATGTTTATCTCTTTCTCTTTCTTCTTAAATTATCTCTCTATTAAAGGGATGCTCTCAACATCTTTAAGCTCACAATATTCCTCTCCTGAGGAGAGCATATAGAAGTTGCAATGCATGAGTGCAGTGAAGAAGGGACTACATCCTGAGAAATGCTTGCTGCACAGAGACTAGCCACCGATTCTGCTGTGCAGAGATTTCAGGAGTTTACAGCTGGTTCTATGTTTAGTTGTATGGCCTCTGTATGAGAGACCAGTGTGCTAGCTTTAATCAGCCAGTCTGGCAGGTTTGGATGGAGACAGATTTCTCAATCTTTTCTGATTTTTTTTTCATTAAAGACATCTCAACTGGTTGTATTGAATTTCTATTAGGCACTTCACCTGCAAGACTCTGAGATTTTATTGGAGGCAAAATTCTCCAAATTAAAATAACAGGTCTCTTAAGCAAAAGAGACTGTAGTGACATGAGGTGACATTGCTGGTCAATAGGTGAAGAGGGATGGCATAGCTTGTGTCTCATTGGAAGGATTTCTGGGAAAACTAGATAGAAGGCATTGAATTTCTGTAAATGGAAAATGGGCATTGATTAGTGACTTAAGAGACTGGCTGACCAATGCTTCAGATAATAGAAAATCTCTGAAAATTGTCAGAGATGCTTGCTAATCTGAATGGAGGAAGATATGATATTAGAAAATCTTCCTGTTCTTTTTTGGTTACAGTTTCAATGACTGTGTTTTCTTTCCTTCAATGCTTCATATTATTCAGAGATATTAAAAAATGTTAATTTCACGTCCAGAAGAAAAAAAATCAGAAATAGTTAGTTCTTAATTTGCAAATGTTGCTTCTCTATCTTCCTTTGCCCTCACATGCACATATTATCATCCTTTTCTGCATGTTTCCAGTTATTGTTTCCTGTAACCTCCTGCTTGATACGAGTTATTAGTTCAGTAAATCAACTTTCATAAGCTTAAGTTAGGAATGTCATCTTGTTTACTCTGTCAAAATAGCAAATAGAATTTCCTGCTTTTACTTGATTGCTCTTCTAAATATGGATTCTGATCTACCCTCTTCATAAATAATTTCATTTTAAACCCAAAAGTGTTAACTCCTGTGATAACTAGTTAAGCTGTAATCTAACCAATGAAAGAACCACCATTGTAGACCTTGTTGTCAAGAAAGTGAATCCTGCTTGAGACTTTGTCCTGAGATCTTGTTCTGAGAATGTTTCTTACAACTAGAGCTCTTATGTCCAGTGTTAATGAGGAGGGAAGATCACACTCAGCTACCACCTCCAGCCACATGTGTCACTTTGCTCTTCCACCCCCAAGATATCAGTGGTTATGGTTTTAGGGTAATGGTTCACTTAGCAGGTTTTGATTTTTACCCCTGCACCAAAAAGAAGCAGTCCCTACTGTAAAGAACGTTTGCCTTGATAACTACCATTAATAAATATTTGTTATATAGCAGGATGGAAGGCATATGAAACATCTGTTGAATCGATGTTTAATGAACGAAGTAATGAATGAGAATGATTGTAGCTCAAGGATGATAGCATTTTTGTCATGTTTTTTCCAACATTTTCCCCTGCAGTAACTGTAATATTCATTTGCACCTAAAGGCCTGTTTTGGATCAAAAAATAGGAGTCAAAGCAAAAGGGAAGCTGACCGTCTGAGTACAAACTTATCTCTTGAGGAATCATGTTTTATGGTATGATGCGAAATATTGTTTTTGTTCCTCAAGATCACAATGATAATATCTATCGGTATTCCCCGTGGAATGTAAGGGAAAGATGTAATCCTTACATATCCTTTTGGAAGAAGTTTCCCAGATCTCATGAGGCCACAATTTTGGATGTTCTCACGTAATGAGAAGAATCTACAAATTGCGCCTCTTCCCCTTTTTAGTCCATCAGAGTTCTCATTTAATCCTCATTTTTTCCATTTCATGCTTTCCAGATCTGAAAATCCTTCCAATGGTGGGCTTTATGCATTCTAATGATAGTTAATTGGTTGCCTTTCGTCTAGCCTTAGTCTCTCTTCCAAACTATATTAAAAGCCAATGATTGATTGTAACAATTCTAAGGATCTGATGTGATATTGGACAGATCAAGTCTGGTCCCAGAATAATGAATAAAAAAACAAGAACAATAAAAGGATATAATACTTTCTTACACTTGATTTCTTTGCTGTGCTTCCTAAACCTATGCAATATTGATTGACACTGGTGTGTGGTTTTGTGTTATCAAGGGCATGAGAACAGTGTCACTGAATTTACAATCAAATTGAGACTAAAGATGTTTGTACTAATAAAGATAATAACCTTGATATTTTTGTGTATGGTTTCTAACCTATGCTTTTAGATTATCTTTCCCACTCCTACAGTACAAATGAGATGGGATGGTAGCAGCCCATGGCTGAAATCAAAAACAGCATGGAATGAGCAGGAGACGAGATGAATGAATGAAAAGATGAATAATATATTTCTTTAGAAAAATATGCAAATATACATCTTTTTGCTTTTAACGTACTCTGTATTAATTTATACATATACACAAGCATAAGCATTTCACATAATTTGGGCAGAACTATGTGCAATTCTATAATAAGCTATTTTGTTTTCTTCAACCCCTACTATATTAGCATAATAACATCTAAAATATTTTAGCAATATATTATCACATTTGTACCACAGCTGCCAGAAATACTCTGTTTTCCATGTTTGTAAACAAAAATAGAACAATACTACATAACACTGTGATTGGAAAAATACCTTCTTTTCGATCCCCCCCTTACATTCAGTAAAGGAGACTTAAACTACTTTAGTATCCCAAATTCATTTTCTCTGTAGAAATATAATTAATTTTCTCTGGGTGCGCTAAATATGTAACCATAACAAATCAATTTATTATCTTTCCACAACTAAATCACTTCTGAAAGGCAGTGGCAAAATATGACATAGATGAGACTGGAGATTTGGAGGGTTTCAATGTACCTCCTCATTTAGCATACAAATTAAATAATGGTAACTCTGATTACTGTTGCAAATTCACAAATTAATTTCAGGTGCCAGTAACGATACTGGTTTATTCAGGATTTTCAAAAATCTTATACTGGGAAGTAAAGAGAGATATGATAATATAATACTGGATTTTAATGAGAAACGTTAAACATGAATTGATTTATGGTTAAATTTGGAGCAGTTAATTTTTTCCCCTCCTGTTTTGGTAATAACAAGAAACAAGCGGTCAACCACAAGTTGATTTCTAATTAGCCCTCCTGGATCTTCCTGGAAAAGCCTGAGCTCTTTTTAAGCTTTGAAGCTGGGTGGAAAGCAGTTAATGGACTTATGTGGAGTCTTTTAATTACCAATATTCAACAAATTTATCTTTTACTGCTAGATAGCACCCAAGGGCAAGAGGTAATCTGCTTTATAAACCTTGGAGTAATTTGCTTTATAAATCCTGGAGTTTAGGGGAGTGGCAAACTCTCTTTAAAGGGAGTATTGTCTTCCACTAAGAATTATATTTTTGGCAGTTTTGTAAAAATTTTTAGTGATAGATTCTTTGTGACCTCTCAGTTTATAAACATCAGCAACCAAAATACATTCAACATTAAGACCAATTCTTTACAACAGCTAGGTCCTGCCCAATGGACAGGCTTGTCCAAAACCAAGCTGAGCATGTAATGTTTTCAGCAAATTGACTCTAAATTTCTTTTGCATTCAAAGCATACATCTTCCTGCCAAATGCAGGTCTTTTTCTTCACATATTTACTAATCTCTCTATTAGAAAGCCGCTTTGTCTTGCAGAGGTCACGTAGTTCATGTGGTTTACATTGTAAGGATGGTAAAACATCTCAGTAACATCAGAATTGACTGAAATTTAAAAAAATTAAAAATCAGATCCATAGCCAAATACAGAAATAATCTAATTCAAAATCCAGAGTTAAAAATAAAAATATTGACAGTGATTTTAATATTTCAAAGGTATAAATGGCTCAGTATTGACAAGGAGCACCCTGTATCTGAACTAGGTCAATTTCATTGTTTTTCTTTGATACTTTGCTTGCATTACTGTGACATTTGCATCTCAGTCCTGGATGAATGATGGAGTTCACAAGTTGCAGTGGGAGACTCCATTCCTAGACTGTCTCCCAAAGCAACAGTACCAAGAATAACTTTCTTCAGATTTACAATGGACAAATTCACTGAATAATTCTTCACAAATGATATGTTCGGTTCCTGGGAGGATGGAGAATACTTTAAATGCATGGTCTTTCTCCCAGGAAATGATGGCTCAGTGATCACGATGCTGTGTTTGCTTCACATTCAAGCAGATGACTCTTGCTCTATGATATTCAAAGGGATGATCTCAGCACTCTCCTCGCCTTGGTTGTTGGCTGGTTCATTCCTCAGCTCCTGATGGCAGATGTAAATTGGGATGTCGCCAGCCTCCGCAGCAGCGGCTGCAGCGCGAGCAGAGCGGTTGGAGGGGCGCCTCCCCCAACGCTGGTTCCACTGAATTTTGAATTGGGCCCATTGGCGCTTCACGGTGGTTTGGACCTGGAAGAGAAAAAGGAGCCTTGTTTTTATATGATAGTCAGAAATGATCCATGCAAAGTGTACGAACATCGTTCTTAGAGCTTATCAGATTTAAAGAAAGTTAAATTGTAATTCTGATCTAAAGGGCTGGGCTGTGTATGCTGTGGCCACAGAATATATCAACTTGGAAGAAGAATTTGCAAATGGAAGAACTGAGTTACTTGCTTAAATTACCCCTGGCAAGGTTGTTTGCTAGTTTTAAGAAAAGGTTTCTTTAGCTTTCATATCCAATGAATAAAAGTTGATTTGGTTTCACAGGTAATGTGGTATACATGTCATAATAGGGAGAAAGGTTGACCAAACTTTTTATATGCTACCATCCCTGATAAGGCAGAAGTTTTTAATTTAAGTGTGCACATGAAAAATATATATGTAAACCATAGCACAGTTCTGGATTTTATGATAATGGCCTCGTACAGTGAACTTTTCCTTGTCCGACATGACTTGAGATGGGTTATGCCAGATACATCTCTGGTTAATGCCATGACAACTTTTTAAGAATAAGATTTTCTCTTTCTTTTGAAAGACTTCTAAAATGTAAACAAACTTGCCAGACTTGTTTTATAAATACGATAAATTATATATTGAAAACAAGAGGCAAAGATGCTAACATCAGAAAGCTCTAAATATGAAAACTACAATAACCACAACTGAAAACAGTACCACAGACAGTGAATTTGCTTGTCTAGCTCTGCTTTTTATAGAAACGAATTCAATTTAGTAGTTAAGTTCCTCCTTCCTGTTGTCTCCAAACTTCTTGCTTTTCTCTATAGCTGAACAAAACTAAAAAAGAGATTATTGCAATAATCTCTATTCTGTATTTCTGAGTTTCTATTGCTCAGTACATACAACAAGCTTACATAAAAATATTTGCATCAATTTATGATACATCCTTAGTTCATTCTGCTGCCAAACTCACATATGACAGCTAAACACATGAGAGAGAACCTGGGGAATATATAATGTGAACTAAATCATGTAACTACTTGATCATGGGGAATCATTTTATCTACTTTACATTTGTACAAATCTGAGAGATGAGAAAAATGACAGCAAAACTGATTAATGTTATAAAACTATATGTATAATATAAGGCTGAATGGTTCTGTGGCAAATATACTTTTTTTTTCCTGTATCTAGTAGAGTAATAATCTCCTCTGAGAATAATTAGTATTGTTCATATATTTTTAAAGATTTTACTCAGAGAAAGACAAAGTCAAATGATTCCTCAAAAAGCAACTAAAGGGGGTAGTTTATCTTCACACAGCACAGCAACCGTAAGGTTCGAGGTGACAAATGGCAATCAGAATTATTTAGCAATCTGATAATTTGGAATATTAGACTTTTCAGATTATGGAGGCAACACATCCTGAGTTTTGTTTTATTTTGTTTTGGGGTTAATGAGTGCTTGCATGAAGGGTACTTTATATCTAAAGTGATTTAAAACGGACAAAGACAAAAACTTTAAGTGCTAAGGAATAAGGTGGACCATGCAGCTGAAAGTTGTATTGAAAAAAGCCACGCAAGAACAAAAGATAGAATAACAAGTTTCAGCTGTTTATTGAGTGTTTACTAAGTACCGTATCATAAGTATGTGATTTGTATTAACTTATTTAATCCTCACAACAGCCCTATGGGAAGGGCACTACTATCTTCACTTTATGGATGGGGCACTGAGGTTATGCAATGTGTCCAAAATCATATAGCTAGAATGTGGCAAAGCCACAGTACCAAGCAGAGCCTGGCTTTATTTGGGTGGTACTATTACCGTAGCTTTAAATGCCAGGGTTATAATCTAGGAACCATCAAATGCCCCATTGAGAAACTGGGAAATATACAGGTTCAGCACATTTTTGGAGAAGCAATGTCTCCAGTCAAAGGAAGCTGATAGGCCGGTCGTGGTGGCTCATGCCTGTAATCCCAGCACTTTGGGAGGCCGAGGCGGGCAGATCATGAGATCAGGAGATCGAGACCATCCTGGCTAACACGGTGAAACCCTGTCTCTACTAAAAATACTAAGAATTAGCCGGCGCCTGTAGTCCCAGCTACTCAGGAGGCTGAGGCAGGAGAATGGCATGAACCTGGGAGGCGGAGCTTGCAGTGAGCCGAGATCATGCCACTGCACTCCAGTTTGGGGAACAGAGCGAGACTCCGTCTCAAAAAAAAAAAAAAAAAAAGGAAGCTGATAATTTCCACGGATTCAGCATCTCTTAAATACCAAGATTATCCTTGTAGCTGAAACTTACACAGATATTTACAAGTATCCAAGCAGGCAGTTATGAGTTTAGAGTTAGTTTGCAAAAGTATGCAGCATGAAAAAGAGGTCTTTTATTTCTCACCTGTCCTTTTAAAATAACTCCCATAGAGTATCCATTTATATTAATAAAGTACACAGCCCAGCATGGGGCCAAACGGTTTGATTTCTATTTTAATTTTTAAAAGTTATTATTACAGAAAGGTTCACGGCCTTCTTTAATTGCGTCCAAAATTACAACCCATCCTTTTGTGTGGAGATGGCAATGTGCTTTGATTTGTAAACTATTCATATAATAACAGGCCCTTAGCAGCATAAAAAAGACACTTAAAAAATTATAGACTAATAAGGGCAATTATCTCCTACAATATCACAGGTTGAGTCTGATGCTGCTCTGATGACAAGAATAAGGGCATTTAATCTGAAAAACAAAACAAAACAAAACAGGGAGAGTTTTGTTGCTCCTGAAAATAAATGTTTTCAGTTGTAAGTGGGATAAATGTAACAACAACAAAAAGATTTGAATTATATAAATTCATCACTCACTAAAAAAGCAATACACACTATTCACTTTACTTTTTTTCCTGATTATATCTATTTATGTATTGCCAACTTATAAAAATAGAGCCCTGGCCTCACAGTTTGAAGACTTAACTATTATACCTGGCTCTATTAATAAGCTTTGTAATATTTGGCCTTTGTATATTTAGGCCTCAGTTCCTACATTTGTACAAAACAAAATAAGTTTAGAGTCTTCATGGTTGGATTTGAATGTTTTTGTCTTTTGCCTTTCTTTTCCTGAGTTCATTCTAAGTACCTACTATAGTTATGTACTGCGGAATAGAAGGTGAGGTTTACCTCTGCAGTTTTGATCCAATGAATGCAAAGATTGTAACGCCCACTCCTTCACACTGTCACCACAATCTAACAGACCTGCTGCAACCTGAGCTTGACATTTAAAAATCATGATTAAAAAAAAAAAAACACTTTAAATTCCCTAGAAGTTAAAAAGTAATTGCACACTTTAGACGGTTTTTTTTTTTGTTTGTTTGTTTTTTTGTTTTTTTTTGAGACAGAGTCTTGCTGTCTCCCAGGCTGGAGTGCAGTGGCGCAATCTCGGCTCACTGCAAGCTCCACCTCCCGGGTTCACCCCATTCTTCTGCCTCAGCCTCCCAAGTAGCTGGAACTACAAGGGCCTGCCACCAAGCCCGGCTAATTTTTTTTTTGTATTTTTAGTAGATACGGGGCTTCACTGTGTTAGCCAGGATGGTCTCAATCTCCTGACCTTGTGATCCAGCCGCCTTGGCCTCCCAAAGTGCTGGGATTACAGGCGTGAGCCACCACGCCTGGCCTAGGTGGTTTTATACAACTTCTGAAAGCTAGATTCGTATTAAGCCCTATTAATTAGATGCTAAGGGATACTTGTGAATATTATTTACAAAGTTGTTGTCAACATTCTTTTCAGTCTTTCGGAGGCCATAGCAGCAATATCTCTACTGGTCTCTGATTTTATCTTACAAAATTTATATGCTCTATAATTTGAGTTGAGTACTTGATTATAGAATCAGAGCTTTCTGATTCCCATTCATTATCTCTTTTCTTATGTTTGGGGAAGATTCCTTGCTCTAAAGGGTAACAATACCTAAGTATCATTTATGATAAAGTTAAACTTTTTGAAAACATTCAGCCATTGTATTTCTTAATTTTCTTAAATAAAATTTCCTACATCTCCCCAGTTCATTAAGTCAAGGTCATCCACTGCTTGAAGAACAAGTGTGATTGTGTCTAGAATAGTGGTTCTTAAAGTGAAGTCTCTGGGTCAGCAGCATCAGTATCACCTGGGAACTTGGTTAGAAATGCAAATTCTCAAACCCCACCCCAGACCTACTGAATAGGAAACTGCTGCTGGGGCCAAGCAATCCCTGGTTTCAGAAATCTTCCAGGTGATTCTGATGTACACTCAAGTTTGAGAATACTGGTCTAGAACAAGGAAAATTATTGCTTAGCATTGAGACTCAAAGCTGGCTTTCTTATGTCTCTAGAAAGACATTGTATTGAAAATCAGGCTTTATTGAGTGGGAGAATTTCTAAACAGAAGAAACTTCTCTTTGCATATGTTGTGAAAATCTTACTGGTCTGCAGATAGTGTTTTACTAAAAGCTACAGGGTAGAGAACATGTAGAATATGATATAGGTAGAGACCCTCACAGACAGGAAGGGGAAGTGGTGAGTGCACAGCCCCAAGAGGCCTGAGAGGAAGAGGAGAGAAAGACACACAAATGGCCTTGCATTTCCCTTCGTGGTGGGAGTACCTGGGAAAATGGGCAGAAGAAATCAAGCAAAAGATCATTTGCTTTCTTAGGAACCCTCCATTACATCAAGTTTTTCTTTTTGTTTCGAGAGCACAGTCCTGAAAATAGCCAGCCCTGAAAAGAAACTCCACATTTGCCCCTGGCACCATGTCCAACAGCGGAGCAGCAACGGCTATGGCATGTGCTGAAGATAGATTCACAGGCTCTATGTGGTGTGAAGAAAGGAGCTGGAGTTCCAGGCTCCTCGGGTGGCTTGGCGGAAAGAACTTGTGAATCAGAATAGGGCTGTGGCTTCATCAAGGAGGCCACAGGTGAAAAGACTTCTCGAGGGCTTAGTAGTAAGGGGAACCAGCGTGAACTTCAACAGCAGGTGCTGGCATTAAAACTTGGTAGCCAGTTGCTCTTTTGGACAAAGGCTTTTTGAATTGACTGAATATTTTCTATAAAGAGACTGCTGTAAACCACTAGAGGCTGGTGGAATAGTCTCTTGAAAGCAAGATAAGCTACAGGAAATAAACAAAATTTTAGCTTTTGCACACTCCAATTTGTGACAGTTAAATGGAGATGTTTCTGATCATGCTACTTCCTTCTATAAACTATTTTATCCACGATGTACGGAGAATAGAAAGACACAAGAAAAGGGAGAAAATCTAGTGTGTTGTTAGAACTTTCATTTCTATGCTACTTCTTGGAAACAAATTGTGCATTTTTATAGCTGCAATCATCTTTTTCAGGTCTCTTAGGTACCTAATAATTTACTGATATGTTTGGATAATCAATGTCCACTCACTTGGAAGAGTCATTGTAGGAAATGCTTGATACATAAGCATGCTCTCATGGTCCTCTCCTGATTTCTATTACTTTAATTCTTCAAGTTCCTTTCCTGCTTCTAGTCTACCCACTGACTCTCTATATAATTCATTTTCATAATGATCATTTCACTGATAACATACCAATAATGAATCAAAATTCAAAAATGAAATAATAATTTCACTGATAACATACCAATCATAATCAAAATTAAATTGCACATAACACAATGTGATGTGATCTCATTATTATGTTGAGTTAGCCCCCTAGATTTCTGCTAAAACTCAGTATTCAGCCAGGCACCATCCCATCACAGCCCTATCTTAGATGCAGCTGGAAATAACTTCCTGCATGTGTGAGTGCCCTGCCTGTGTTCAATATTGTAAGGTGATGCATTCGCAGAATGACCAGCTGAGACCCAGATGCCTAAAATCCATGGGTCTGTGATATTACATCTGGCACAGTACACAATTCTATATTATTAGAAATGTCACACTTTTACCTTCCCCCAGTAACGGGATCTTAATGAAAATGGAAATGGTTTCTTTACTTCAAAATCAGAGATAACATATAGTCAAATGAACTCGAGACATTCAATTGCTAGGGTACCCCTGGGTTTGCTTTCTATGTCTGACACTTCCAATGACAGTATCATAGATAAGACACAATAAATATTGTGGTATTTTTACGAATGCATGCAATCCTCTTGTGTTTTTCCAGGTATGCCCCACTGAGCCTGATTTCTCATATTAGCTCTATTTTGATATTATTTTAGACAAAAAATTTATTTTGCATGCCACCTGAAACAACCCAAAAGGCATGGATATACATTCACAGAAATTGATATAAACACGGGGTGACTTACGCCCTACTCATTTATTAGTTTTTATCATTCTAAAAAATATTAAAATTCTAAAAATATTGCCACTCTAACAGCGGGCAATGGAAGGATGTCTTTTCATTTCTATTCTAGGCCCTTAGTCTAGCCCTTAGCAATAGTAAATGCACAATGTATTTTTGTTGAATGAAGGAATGAGTTGGTAGGTGAATGGATGAAGAAAGAAAGGAATAAAATGTAATAACTAAAATGGAGAATAGGAACAACAAAAACTTTGTCATGTTGCGGTTGGAAACGGGTATGAACAGGTCACAGAATAGCAAAATATTGTAGGTGCTCACTAAATATTATTTAACTTAGTAAAAAGATAGAGAATAAATTAGCAACTGACAATGGCTAGAAATGTTTCTAATTACTAATAGGAAAGTAATATATTGATGTCTTGGCAAAATGTGATTTGCCTTGTATGGAATTATTCTTAATAGGAATTGATTTAAAATGTTCAAAAATGCTTTGGCATTAAAAGTTGTGTGGTCCTAGAAAAAACATACTAACATAGCTCCAGGAAGGAATTATAGATATAGATAAGTTAATTGGGAGTTGGTCAGTTTAATTGAAAAACAGGAAATCTGTGTTCCAGTCTGGGTTATAACCATAAGTGCATTTGTGACATTGGGTAAATCACATGATCTTTCTGGAGTTCAGATTTCTTCCCTGAAAAATGAGGAAGATTTTGAATCATGTTCCCTAAAACCCTGGAAGTTCTTTGGAAGGATGTCTGGAGCTATAGAAGCTCCATTTTTATGTTTTATAGATTTGGCTCCCAGGCAAGATTTGGTTGGAAGAAAGGGTAACTCTGGCTAAAAACACCCTGAGAACAGAATGGATCAGCCATATGGCTCTCTAGATTTTACTGATCTAAATATTCACATTGTAGATTATTTGAGAATCCTTTTTGAATCTTCACTTCAGGGTGATTTTCAAAACGCTGAGTAAGTAGTAGGGCGTTAGCACCAAGCAACTGGAAAAGAAGGTGAGGAACTAGTACAAACCGAATGGAGATTGTCTCTGCCCTAGTGAGGGCTCGGGTCTTCCGAAGGGAATAGGAATATGACTTCTCTTTGTGATGGCATCCAGAATAGCTTTCACTATTGCTCCTGAGGGTGCTGATCTGTTCAAGATGCAACCCAAGGAAATTAACTGCCTGTCTGAATCATATTTGCCATTGTACTACACATCCATGGATAAGATTCAGCTTGGAGTAGTGGAAAAAACATCATGTTGCTAATCACAAAACCCTATGAGGTCAACTGTAGAAGTGAGATGAAATGAAATTTGTACAGAGGCCCTTTGGAAAAAATGCTGCCTTTACACAAACAAGTGATAGTATTATATGAAATGCATGCTTACCTCATTGTTGCAGAAGCAGTAGATGGTCGCAACAAAGAAGCCCTAAAAAGGGAAGGAAAAATACAGTTGAAGTTATTTTTGTGTGCATTATGTTGTTTAGTAAACAATATAATAGACTGCCCAGAGAAGGCCTGATGAAAAAAAAAAAAAGCAAGAAAAAGAATTATCTACCATTCATAGTCAGTGCTGCACTATAAGAATATTCCCTTAGAAATATATTTTTCTTGTTAGGATTCCATCGTTTGGCTAGAAGGACGGATTAATATTTTGCTAATCTAAATAATATTTTGCTCCCTTTAACATGGAGATTTATAGCAGCATATGCTGATTATGGTGAATTTGAAAAAAAAAAACTACACTTAGAAAATTTAAAAATGGAGACCTTGCAGAATTCAGTAGAGGGATCTTTTACAAGACAAGTGTCATAGTGGGAGGCTGTGGGTCTGTGTCCTATGTTGTCATGGTGAACTAGTGCAATACTGTACCCACCGCCAAGTTCATCGCTCAGATAAGGACATGGACTAAGAAACTGCCTGAGTCCTGGTCACTGCTTGAAGATTTCTTGTGCCCAAGTTTTGATTATGGCTAAAAGAACAGTTCGAACTATTCAAACGATCCCTAAACTTTCTTTCTGGCCCTATTAATTTTGACCTCCTCCTCACATTAAGCCTAATATAGAAAATAAAACTATTTTGAAATTTGTAATAGAGACAGCAAAACTCTGGCCTAAGAGCCTGTGATAGAATTACTCCTGCCAAGGACTCCCACATCCTATCTTGCTATCCAAATACAGCATTATGCTTTCAATGGGGCTTTAGATCTGGGTAAAGGTGAATGGAACTAGGGCAGCCATTCTCCTATCCAGTGCGGCAGACACTGGACAGCCCAGGACAGCCCCTGAGAGCCCACTGCATTCTCTCTTACATGAGGGGAGGCCTGGATACAACTTCCCTTTATAGCACTGAACCGTCATGAATGGATTCCTAACATTCACCTGACAAATGGAGAGTGATAGAGCAGGAGGCATGGACAGCCTTGTGCAAATTCCTCATTACCCCAGAGCCAGCACTTATTTATAAAGGAAGATCTGACAATTTCTGTATCTATGACCAAGGAGAACATGCCTGGATGGGACCAGCTGAGGGCCCTGGGAATGACAGGAAAGCAGGCACAGAAAGAAACAGCAACAAAGAGCCTCAAAAAAACTGGTGTCCTTCAGAATTTTGGCTGGGCTTATTGAATTGGAGGCTTAAATGTTATGACATTGAAGATCATGGGCTTGTCAGGCGTGCGCAGTGGCTCACACCTGTAATCCCAGGCCGAGGCGGGCAGAATACCTGAGGTCAGGAGTTTGATACCAGCCTGGCCAACATGGTGAAACCCCGTCTACTAAAAATACAAAAATTAGCCAGGCGTGGTAGCGCACACCTGTAATCCCAGCTACTCAGGAGGCTGAGGTGGGAGAATTGCTTGAGCCCGGGAGATGGAGGTTGCAGTGAGTTGAGATCATGCCACTGCACTCCAGCCTGGTGGACAGAGCGAGACTCTGTGTCAAAAAAAATAAAATAAAATAATAAATAAATAAATAAATAAATAAACAAATAAGTAAAATAATAATAAAAGATCATGGGCTTTAGAGTTAAAATCAGCTAGCTGAATAAGCACAGTAGTTGAATAAATACACCTTTGGCTTCCTTACCTGGAAATGAATCAGAGAGTGCATCACGTAATCATATATCTTCCCAAGCATCTTGTTGGAAGGTCTCCAGGGAAAGACGACAAACTGGATTCCCAGCAGGGGCACAAGGATCATGGTGGCCTTCACAGCCTTCAGGTACATGTGGGATTCCGCCTCATGGGTTTCCCTCATTTTGGTCACAAGCACCCGGACAATGTTGAGCAAAAAGAAGAAATTGACCTGCAAATATACGGTGTTATGAGCAAATCATACAGAAAAGTATCACTTAAGAATATGCACTGTTCTCAATTCTTGTTTATCCAGTGTGAGCAACAAATGTTACCTACATAGAACATGAGAGTCTACCTGAGAGGTAGCACAATTGGCTCAGCATTTCTAGGGCTCTAGAGAAGTGGTTTAATTTTATGTTCCCTCCAGCAGTATATAAAACAGTTCCAGTTGCTCATCACCCTTGCCAACACTTGGTATGAACACTCTTTTTAATATGAGCCTTTCTATGGCGGGGGTGGTGGAGGGGTGTAGTATTACCTCATTCTTGTTTTAATCTGCATTTTCCTGATGATACATGAGCTGAACACTTTTTCATAAATTTATTAGTCTTTATTTGGAACATTGCAGATACCTTCTTGGACTCTAAGTTTTGTCTTTTCAGTCTTTAAATGTTGTCTTCATTTTAATGTAGCTGATTTATCAATCTCTTCCTTAAGTGCCTTTTGTATCCTGCTTTAGAAATCTTTCTGTATCTGAAGCTCATGAAGATACTCAACATAATGTGTCTTTTTGGGGGGCCTCTATTGTTTTGTCTTTTACATTTAAACCTCCAGTTCACTAAAAACACATTTTTTGGTGTCTGGTTGTGGAAGGAATCAGAATTTACTTTTTCCCCACACATATGCAGTTGCTAAATACATGTTTGATATTTTTTCTGTATGTATATCTTATTGACCATCTCCTTCCTCTGCCCAAAAGTGCTGCTGTCATAAATCAAGTGCCCATATTTGCACGGGCAGCTCTTTCAAAATGAGAAAAATCAACTATTAAGGTATAAATGATTCACCTTGTTAATTGTTGAATCTTTTTTTTTAGTTTTGAAATGCACTAATGTGCATTTCCTTTAGTCATGAAATTAATAAGAATTCCAAATATATCAATTTCTGTTAATTTATGGTCATTCACAGTGAAGTATGCATATACTCAACTCAGATACACATTTATAATTTGGATCCTAGAATCTGCATTTCCTTAAAAATTTCTAGATAATTAAGGCAAGAAATATGTATTTTAGAATTTTAAATATAGGAATAATTGCTAAAGTTTTTACTTCATTTTACTTTATTTATTATTTTATTAGGAGATATTTTATAATCGTGAATTTATGAGTAGCTATTATTATTTTTGTTATTTTTAACAGATAAAGATATGGAGCAGTACTAAGTTTTAATGACCTAGAGTTAGAGATTATCTTCCAAAAGTACCTGAAAGATTATTTAATCTAACTTTTCCCTTAAAAAAATCAGGGGACATTTTTAGGTTAATTGATTTATCTAAATTTTCAGAGCTGGTAGATGATAGAGCTAAGACATGAGGCCAAGTCTACTGAATCCTAGGTAAGTAAGAACTGTAGCATCCTCAGTAAGCATCTGACATTTGGCTGGGAGTCCACTATTTATTACTAACTCACTAATTGAGCTTGTGTTGAATATTTGGATTTCTGGACCTTAAGTTCACAGAACCAAAGACTTTTAGAGCTCTGGAATGTCAAAGTTTTCAAAGACCCTAGATGTTCATAACACAAACAAACTTCTTGCAGCCCCTTGGCCTCTCACCTTTACCTAGGAGAATCTAGTTATAAAAATCTTAAAATATGAGCTACATTGCTATTATAGTGTGAGTCTGTAATGAAAATGAGCTCATGATAACCCCTCCATGTGTGAGTAAAAGGCGTTTTTTTGAAGAGTCTAAAATCAAATTGCTTTTTTTTACTACAGAATACCATCAAATTAGCTTCATTTTGAAGTTATAAAACATATGATACATAGAACTATATACACAGAAATCTCAACTAAGAGATAATACTACTAATATTGCAATAAAAAACTAATTCTCACCACAAGTGCCGCCATGACAGGTCCATGGATTATGTAAAGCAAATGGGTTTCCACACTCAGCCAGCAGCTGAAAAAGGGCAAGGGGACAATTAATACACAAATACATTTTGTTTATGAATATGTTAACTTAAACATCACCATAATACTTACTTGTCATTGAAGTACACGGCCCTGGTAATAGCATGGATAGTGGTTGGCACCAGCGGGAACCCTACAAATGTGAAAAGTACAAATCACACTTGGTTTCTTGGTCATAACCTTTAAGTACAGCTGCATGGACAATGGTAGTGTACTTGCAAAAATACTGGCAAATTGAGTGCATCTGTCAAGATGTTCCCCTGATATTTTCACAAAAATCATCTTTGGTCAAGCCAGTCAAAATGCTCCCAGTTAGAACATCATGTGCTTCCTGAGAGTTTGGTTAAGAGCATCCAAATAATTAAAAGCCTTTTACAAATTGCTGAATGTAGCAGGTACACTATGACTATTATTACCATTGTTATGTTTATAATGATGACTATTAACTGAGACCAGAAAGCCTTTCATTGTGGGTGAACTGGCCTCTCTTATGGAGAGGAGCTGGGTCACCCCGGAGGGATGTGACCTGGGACGGTGTATGAAAGCAATAGTCTGATTGCTCCTAAAGCCTTAGCTGATGTTCACATTCTTTCTTCTAGGCTCTTTTGTTTTTCTGTCTGTTTATATCTCATGCAGTGATTGTTTCCTTTTAATATGAATACTTCAGAGAAGCCAGTACATTCCCTACCTTCTGTAGGTTCTGGCTAGAGAAACTTTATGAAGGCAGCTTACTGTACCTCCTTGACTAAACTCAAAGTGCTAGTAAAAAAAAAAAAACTTTTTAATTTATAAACAGAAAAATGGACACAGTTATTGCAATACGTCCTTCCAGATTATAATTTTTTAAATCAATTTTTATTCTGTAGTATAACCTAAAGTTGTAATTTTCATTAAAAAAGAAAAAATAAGTCTTTTTACTCAGATGTACAACAGTAGAATATTGTTTGATTTGATTGAGACATCTGTAGAAAGAGGTTTTGTTATTGTCATCAGATTAAGAAATGTGTCTTAGGAAAGAATTAAATCAATGCATTTTTATTTTCTGTGAGTTATATACAAAAAGGGGTCTCAAAATATTGAATTTTCACCTAAGAACAACCTCAGCTTTTAAACCCAGGAAGCATATTTTCAATAGGACCACAGATTTAATGTTTGGCCTGAAATAATTTTGAGTTTGCTTATACAAAACATGATTGTGTTATTCACAGCAGTTCTAACATACCATTTTCCCACTTGGGCTCAGAAAGAGAAACAAAGTCTCTGGATTTATTTTGAGATGGATATTTTAGAATTAGAGAGAAAGAGAAGTATATGGAAAACTGAATCCCACCTCATCATTTTGTAGAAAGGAAAGTGCTTTCTACTTCATCTGGAGACGAGTATAGACCCCACACCTTTTAACGCCCAGGGCTCTTTGCCTTCTTCTAGCTATGATGCCTCCTTTTAGGTAGTTTGCTTTTTCTGTTTTTTTTTCTTTTTTCTTTCTCTCTCCCCAAGGTCCCAAGATCCATAACAACCCATTCTTCCCACCAAAGATGATGAGATTCAGAATAATCCTGTCTGTGTAGGATTCATTTTTTAAGAGGGATTTAATAAATTCTATTTGTTCAATATAGAAGTCCATGGGGGAAATTTCCTTCCTTTGATTTCTAACAAGGGGAAAACCAGCAAGGCAAGGCAAAGAAACAGTCTGGAGAGGGCTGCAAAATAAGTGATCTTCCTGAGAACTAAACTTCAGTATTTGAAGTTACTTCAATTGGAGAGAAATCGACTACTAAGTGGTGCCATGCAGACTTGGAAGGGAATAACTACTGAAAGAACCATTCTTTGATTTTCTGTTGGGGAGAATTTCACCACCAGATACTTGTTCACCCAGTGGCTAATGTTTACAATATCTCTTATCATTCTTTGAGATTCATTTCAAATCCTAGAATTGGAAACATTATTCACAGCTGAATTAAATGAATGGGCTTTACATCACCTGCAAACAAATTAGGTGCTATAATACAACTGGGCTTTTTTGGGCCATATTTTCTGCAGTCTAACTTTCAAGAATCTTTTAAAAGTATGTAGGTTTTGCTTCTTTTCTGGCATTGTAAAATTTAGAACCTATCATACTGTCTTCATGTGAAAAAAATTTTCAAAGGACAATAAAAATATTATCCAGAAGAGACTTATTCTCTTGCCCCATTAAACTTTATAAAGTTTCTGTGAAACTATTTTTTTCTTGAGAAATTAATTGGTATTAATTTCACCCATTTTCCTCCCATCCAAAGATAATGCTTGCTTAAAATTCTAAGAAAGGAGCCACTGCTTTAAAATATGTCAATTTTGTTCTCAGAGTTCAGATTTGGCAATGTGATTTTTCAGTGGTAATGAGTTTGGTGGAATTTTGGTGTGTGTGTGTCTGTGTGTGTGTGTGTGTGCATGTAGAAAGATAGTCTTAGCTTTGGCATGCTAAAAACATTACATTTTAGAACTATTTGGTTGACTATCTTTCCAAAAGTCCATCTACGGAAGTGCAAATCCCTCTAGTTCTTTTTTTAATTTAAATTTTTATATTATTCTGGCAAGAACAATTAGCATCAGGTCTGCCCTCTAAACAGATTTTTAAGTGCATAGTACAAAATTGTTACCTATAGGCACAATGTTGTACAGCAGATACCTAAAATTTACTCATCTTGCATTACTTAATCTGTATAACCATTGATTAGCAACTCCCCGTTCTGTGCTTACGTTACTAAGTGTAATGTTCTTTGGGATTCTACTTGAATCATTCGAATTGTTGTTGATTACAGAAGCTTAAGGTATCACATAAACAATTTACTTATTATTATTGCCTTTGTTTTTGATACAGCTGAGCAGCTTGTTCCTTTTTTCCTTTGAATTGTTTATGTGTTTTAAGCAGATATCTTCATTGAGCTGTCTATGATGATGCCAAAAAGTTTTATAACTAATTCACAATGCATCAGTATACTCCAAGAGCAGTATAAATTGTTCCTTCCAGGGTGCCCTTGTCTCTGCTGAATGTCACCGACAAGAATACATTTACAGCCTTTTTTTCCCATGAAAAATTTTCTGAGTATGGCAGATAGATGTTTTGAACAATCAAAACTGGTAAAAGAAATATACCACAGATTTTATTTCAAAGGAAATAAATCTGGCAGAAAGTATGTGTGTGTTTGTGTGTGTGTTTGGGGTGGAATGTTATTTTCAGGTCTTTGACTGGAAGGCATTTGATCAACACCAATTATTATGATTGTGATGATCAGAATTGCCATTGCAGTGATTAAATTGTATCCAGTCTATTCTTAGCATGACCAGATTTGGAAATCTAGAAATTGTTGAGAGGGTGTACATACGGATGAGAAGGCCAGGGAAAGGAAAGATTAGTCTCTGTGGAAGGCTGGGGCTAAAAGAGAAAAAAAAAAATAGTAAAAGACCATTTTGAGTAAATTTTGACCTGTTTTAGGACAGGAAAGAGCAGGAGAACCTGTTACCTGATGTGGAACCAGCAGGATAGTGATAGCCTGATTTCTAACCTCACTGGATGGTTAAGGAAACAGGGTGCAGCGCTGCTCTCCTTATAAGGGAGCAGCCATGCAGATGAGGTGATCTGGTGAATATCCTAGACAGCCTGTACAGTTCACAAAGACCCCTTTCTCAGTCCTTTGCTGGAGGGTTCACAATCACTAGACATGTTCACACTATGTGACAACATCCCCCTCAATTTTCTTGGCCACAGTTTATTGAACCAGGGTAGGCTACCTGCCTTCAGTTGGATCAATCAGATTTTCTTGTCCTGCTATTCAGAATTGGAACTTAAAGATGGGCATTTAGTTTCTGTGAGTGCCTGGAACAGAAACATGTGTACTCAGGAAACTTTGGGGCAGGATGTATTTACTATGAAAACTGGAGGGAGCAGAGACCCTATGGTCTATGGCCTGTAAAGAAAGAGAAGGGTAAAAACAGATATGCAAGGAAAAACAAAGACAAAAGGCAGAGGGAGAGAGCTCCTGGCTTATCTGCTCCCAGGCTACAGCCCTTTTAGTTGCCTGGCTATATTTCTGCCCTTAGATTCCATGAGATACGCTAGATTCTGACAACTTCTCTGTATTTGCTTAAGTTAGAACATCTTACTCTGTTGCTTGCAACCAAATAATTGTAGCATCATCAATTCAATTTTGAGGCATCCCGCCTATCTGCCCCATTGACCCACCATTATCGGATTATCCCATTGGGCTTGGGCAATGCATTTGGTTAAAACCATGTACCCCTGTTATGTAAGGGTGTTATGGAAACCAGTATGGCATAACACCAGCCCCTTTCTGCAGTTTACAGACTGCAGGAAAGACTCTAGGCTGCTTATATGACTTCCCAAGCACATTTCTATAAAGTTGGCGACAATGCCTGTTGGGCAGGGCTTTAAATACAAAAGGTGATGTTTTTAAAAAATCCCTTGGATTGTCCTCCCTCCTCACTACACCTCTCCTCTCTTACCAGTACTTGTAGGGGCTCCCCAGCCTGCTGCATTAAAGGGCAAGCTTAGTTGAAGGCCATCCACAGCCTCTGCTCTCAGAGTCACAGTCACCCATCATGTGGGGTGGATGTGGTGAGAGAAGCCCTTGGCTCTATAGTCAGTGAGGGATGGCCCACGAGTTCCTCCTCTGGTATGGAAGTTTCAAGGTAAGGCTGAAACTTTTTTTTTGATAAGGCAGCATGTGTTTTTATCGCAGCATTTATTTTCTTTCATTGCCTCACCTTCTGTTCAGTTCCCTTCCACCAGGGGGAGCTGGACTTTCAGCAGCCCTGGGGGAAAGGGAGCAATTCTAGAGCATCCCTGAAGGACTTCAGCACCCTGCCTTAGTTTGTACGGAAGCAGCCACAGCTTAAACAATCCAGCCCTAAGCTTTCCCGAGCCAATGCCATGTGCTATGATGTCACACAGGCTCTACTTGGAAGCCCGTGTGGTTATATCTGCCTCTCAGCTGGACTCCACTTCCTGAGCTTTCACTGGAGGAATCCTGATGATGGATTGACAGGAAGAAATGTTCTTGATGAAGGAAAATGAAGCCAGGGTAGGGGAGGTACATAATTCAAAATGTGAAATTCTCCTTTGCTCTACAAACATGTGATGAATAAAGCAGAAGGAGGCCTAATCAGATCTTCTCTCAATCAGGACACATTTTGTGTCCATCATTAGCTAGGTTTGTTTCCTGAAGTTACCCTTTGGAAGTCACCCTTATCTTCCTTCTCTGTGCAGACCCTCATGTTCAGCACAGTTGAGATTGTTAAAGGGCTTCCACAGGTCTTTTGGAGACTGAACTCCTGCCAGTACCTGTGTTCCATCATTCCTTGAAGGACCTGGGACTTGACTCTATTCTCTGAGACCAAGACTAGAAGAAGACTGAAAGCATACAGACAGAGGTGAAAGTGACTCAAAACTTAGCTGCAGAAAATACATACCCCAGCCCAAGAGATAATACCACCGCAAGCGTTGCTTCTCAGTAAACACAGCCACGACAATGAGTGTATGAAGATAGATCCCTTCACAGAGCATCCAGAAATAGTTGCAGGCCATCATGTACTGGTGGAAAAAATGCAAAATCTTGCAGCTCACCTGTCAGAAAGAAAGGAAGATACTCAGAGAAAGACACAGGTAAAGATCTGCCAGGGAGCACAGAGCAAATGTGAAAACAAGCCAAAGTATCTGCATTCAGCTTGCAAGGCAGTTTCCCAAGCATCTGTAAACATGTGCCACCTGCTATACCCACAAATCAGAGTGAATGCACAGATCACTGCTATTACATGTAAATAGCCAAATAAGCCAGTGGAAAACTAGTCCACAAAATGTTCTTCCTTGTTGCATTCTGCGGACTTACACAGATGGGTTCATTTTCCTGCAATTTGTCAGACTCATAATCTTAGGCACCATCTAAGGATTTGATGCATGACTTTTATGGCCCCTTTTCTATGGCCAGTGAAGCAAATAACGCAGATATTTTTAATGCTGCTTCTGAAATTCACTGATTTGTTGATGATGTTCCTTTAGCAGTAAAGAGGAGAGAGTCAGGTGATAAATTTCATATATAAACCCAGGAGATACGCTGAGCCTAGCTGCTGTTTATGCTTTTGTTTTCATATGGGAGCCTTGGTTTGTATATTGGGATCAAGCGCTCTCTGGGCACAGAGATTAGGATGACATCCTTGCTGAGAACTCAATGCAGACGTAGGAGCCACACCCTTGGAAGAGTCAG
Source organism: Homo sapiens (assembly GCF_000001405.40). Taxonomy (NCBI): domain Eukaryota; kingdom Metazoa; phylum Chordata; class Mammalia; order Primates; family Hominidae; genus Homo; species Homo sapiens. The sequence goes on from NC_000007.14 coordinate 93,444,395, forward strand.
ATTAATATTGTTGTCTGTATAGAAATAACCATTGCTTGTACTGCATAATGGAATACTTTTATTTACTAGTCACTCCTGGAATAGGATTTTTCATCTTGGTACATTAGCATTTTGGAGTAGATTTTTGTTGTTGTTGCGGGGGCTGCCTTGTATGTTGTTGGGAGTTTAGCAGTATAACTAATTTCTATCCACTAGATGTTAGTGGCATCTCCCACACACTCTTGACAATCAAAAATGTCTCCAGATGTTGCCCAGTCTTCCCTGGGGAGCAAAATGTCCCCAGTTGAGGATGCGTGACTGAGGGTACTTAGCTGTGCTTATGTCTTAACAACAACAATAATGACAACGGAATTTAGCATTCAAAATCTTAGGTATTAGGGAGTGGTTATTTGCATTACTATTATTTTACCAAATACTCTGTTTTACATTATGCTGCTTCTTACTTTATTTTGAATTTGACTGCATTTTAGGCCTTTTCCTTAAAAAGCAAGATAGCCATGAAGTGACTTTCAGTACTGTAGCAACCTTTTCCGAACCATATATTTTATTTAATGCATAAGAGTAGTAATTCGTTTACTCAAAACCTGTTGTGCTGAGCCAACAGATATTCTACTGTGTTTCCTTTTCTTTCAAGGTTTATTGAACATAGGGAAAAGCCCTCTGGGCCCAGGAGAAGGCAGATATGGCATTGTCAGAGGTAGAATCAACCTCTGATTCTGACCAAAGTGGTACAGTGGTGCAGATAATTAAAAACACCAGGTAATCTAAAAGTAATTTATATTTGGCTCAGAAAAGCACTGGCTTCCCTCCCCGCCATCTGATTACCTTCCTAACTGGGATTATTTAATATAATGTTAGTTTTGTATTTTCTAAGCAAGTACTTGCTATATTTACATAACACCCAAGTATATAAATAAAATGTGAAATTCAGTTGTTACTCTGGATTCATTTGGAAGGCTATTCTTATTTAAAAGCCCTATTCTTTCTGGATCCAGAAATTAAGCATATGTTTTGGAGGCTGTCACTTGGGGAGAAGGAGATGGGAAGAGAACAAAGATGATGGTCTTATGCCTTTGTCACCCAGAGCAATTTTGGCTTCCAGTTTTATATACAGTTAATTATTGTTATTTTCAGTAGTTATGGTCTATAAAGTTGCTTCAAAAACTGAAATAGCAAATACTGAGCCATTGCTTCTAGGGAAAACACATGGTTAGGTTCCTGTAAGCCTCTGGTCACAAATATTTTCACCCAGCAATCAATAGCTAACTTTGTTTTATGTGTTTTGTTTAAAGACAACTTATTTAACATATGTTGCTGCTTCATTCACACTGAACTCTCAACCAATAGCACTATTACTTCTACCTGAAGAAAACTCCAACACACACATATTCTCTGTAAGCCACATCACAGCTTTCTTGTACTTAGGAACATCATACAGCACTTCAGTACTATGCTTGAGGGGCTATTTAAAACAATAAAATCACCAACCAATTTACAAATTCATAAAAATGTAAAAATTGTGGCACTAAATAGACCACAAAAAGGACATTTGTTCGTAGTATGAGAACTGAAACAAGAAGGCACAGAGAGCATTGCCTTCTTTAACCTCAGCTGGGAGCTGTACATCAGGTGGCTCCAATTTCTGGACATTCTGTGAATGTCTGTGAATGATAGCAAATCTGCTAGGAGTATTGATTTGGGGGTTACAAACAATTTATAGGAAAAGACAAATTTGCAAAGGTGGAATTCATGAATAAAAATGAGAATTGACCATATTTGGGTTTGACGCAAGATATTGCTTGGAGGCTAAAGGCCTCAAAAGCTCACACAAATTTTAAAAATCACCAGTCTATTCATTTTTAAAAGAAACACCTCATGAAAATAATTAGAAATATCTAGGTGATCAAGCTGACTATTAGAATTTTTCACAAAAATAGTTTAGCACTTAGATCGGTGTTTCATAACTAAGGTGGTTTATCAGTGTCACCTGATAATTTTTTAAGAAATATACAGAACCACACCTCATCTCTCTTTTTGTTTTCAAACTATTTTTCAGAATTTCTAATTTAGGCCCCTGATTAAGAATCCTGTGCCCAAGATATTCAAGGTAATTCAGTTGCATTCAACAAACATTTATGGAACACCTGCTATGAGCCAGGAACTAAGCTAGCTCTGGGAGTATCAACATGAATAAGATATTGTCATATAGCCCCTGACTTAATTATAACCTTTCTGTCAAGGGTGGAGTAAACCAGGCATTAAACAAAATGATGGGGCCTCTTGATTAGGGTTAGTCCTTACCTTCATTCTGAGATGGTTTCTTAATTAGCAGCATGGGGTATTAAGGAAGTCACTCAGATCAGATCAAATAAGCTAAGCAACTTTCCACTAGCTTTCTAAAGATAAGTCACACCAGTGTAATTTTGTTTAAGTAGTATGATCTTCCAAATTGCAAGACAAAAATCTGCACTCAAATAATATAAATGCATCACTTCCAAGTAAAACAAGAAATACTTGAAGCCAAAAATAGATAAAATTTGTGAGTTATACTCCATTTTATTTTCTTCATTAATATAAAAAGAGATAATTGCCACTGTGAATGATATGTAAGTGAAAGCCATATTATCCACTTTGGCTTCAATGAGTCATATCACTATTCAGTGCCCTTACTACCAGTTCATGTTTTAATAAAACATACAGTTTGTTGAGCAGTATGTAACTTTCAAGCGGAAGGGATCCTTCAGTTTTTTAATTGGGTACACTATTTAATCTATCTTTTCCACAAAATGCCCCAAAGGGCATTTATAATAATTTGATTAAAAATGGAATCAGAATTATAGAACACAGGTTTTCCTTAGTCTAATACATCAAGTCAACCTCAAAACTTCATAGAAGATAGATGTTCAGTAGTGAATTTATTTCCTATTATATTTTTCAAGGACACTTAAGAAAATTCCTCTAATCTACATAACATAGGAAATCTTGTGTGGCAATATGTTCAAGAACCATCGATAGCAAAGAGTGCCTCCAAATGTAAACTGCTTTGGAATTTTTGTTTTTGAGAAACAAGACCAACCTTATAATAGGTAATCAATGTTTTGAGGTGTTTTTCTGTTGTGGTGGGGGTAGAGGAAGACCTTAAGTATGAGAAATAGAGGAAGACCTTAAGTATGAGAAATAGAAAGGAGACCAGAGCTGATCTGTGGAAACAACGAAAAGCAATGATCATGGCCTATGTCCTACTTTTAAGCAATTGAAAATCCACCATGAACTATTCTTGGCATCATTTGCACTACAGGCCTATTACCATGTATAACAGGGAGCTAAGGAATACTATCTTGCCATTCAGAATGCCTTCCATCATCTTCAGAATGCCTGACATGCCATACGGTTTCATTTCTTTAGCTTAAAGCTGTTTTCCTTACTAAAATGCCAATACCTCAGGAAGGGACTACACACACATTTTGTCCTATCACTCTTTGAAACCATAGAGTAGGAAAATTGAGGGGCTGGGGGATCACAGAGAATGCAGATTTGGAATGTGGTTTATCAAATATTTATTGAGCTTGTACTGTATTGCAGGCAGTAGGCTAGAAGATCCAAAGTTGTCAAACAGAGTCCCTACTCCTAAGAAACTCACCATCTTCACAGGTTCACAAAGAGAAGACCCAGGGAAGTGTTGCCAAAAGTAAGCGCTCTGAAAACTTTGGCAAGGCCAAGCCTGTGCATATTTCATTTTCAGGGTATACTTAATTCTCATGATACATTTCGTGTGCACAAAAACTCTTAGCTTTCACACACACACACAAAAAACTACTGCAATTTCTCCCTCTCATTGGTAAAACTGGGGTATTAGATTCAGCTTCTGTGTTGATTTCATATGGTTAGGTACAATAACACATTAAGGAAAATTTTGTGAGATGTTTTAGTTTTGTTTTGCTGTAAAACAAATTTGGCAAAGGAGAATTAAAAATAACAGCCATATGTTTCCTATATTCTGCCAGGATTTGATTAAAATGCATACTTTAGATAAGCTCTTTTGGTTTTTCAAAACAGTGGCTAAGTTTGATGCAGTAACTGTGCTTGCATTTTTGTGTCCAATCCTGGGCTAGGGCTGCAAAAATAAAGTTCAATGCTTGCAATCAAAGAAGTTACCTTCCGGTGGGGAGACAGATACATAAACAAATAAGTGCCACTATGTACAATGATTTCTAAAAAAAGTAATTTTTGTAGCCTATTTTAAGACAGTTAAAAATTCTCTTCTCAGTTAAGTCAGAGGAGAAAAAATGGATCAGACTAGTGGGGCTTATGTTATTAATATTAAATAATCTACCCAGTTTGTGTGAAAATTTATAAGGAACAGATTAGCAGATTCTGCCAAAGTCAAACACATTCTACTTTATTCCAACTTTTCTATTTTTGGCGGGCTGCAATACAGGCTACTTTACAGTAAAAGAGGTGGCTGACTGTTGATTTACTTTTCAAATTCGCATGGACAAAACTGAGGCAAAATGAAGAGCCTGAAGAGTATCTTCTCTGTTTCTTTAGTTACTAGAGGGCCAAATAAATATGTTTGGAAACTTACAGCAAACAACTAAAACCACATTACCCACTATACAAACATATTAATAAATAAAATATTTAAAAATTATTTCGAAATGGTCTAAATAGTACCAACTCCACAATACTTTGCACTGAATCAAAGCTGCCAATTTTATTTCTGCCAAGTTTTGTTTCAAAACAGAAATAAACTTTTCTATATGTTCAGCATGATCTCTAATGATTAAAGATAGTTATTTACATTTCCCTGAAGCTTCTAAAAATGTTTTCTTATCAGTTTGCTTTAGCACAGAGGGAAGAGTGTGAAGTGATGTTTACTTGAACAGGTGAAGAAGAATCAATAAGTCAATTTCTAAATATTTTACCTGAAGGAAAAGACATTTTAAGAGAGACTGAATGATAAAGATTTGTGGTCTATGTTGGTTAAATTGGCCAGGTTAATTTTTTTATTAAGTTTTATTTAATGTATATCTAGACTACATATTGAGTGAATGTGTAATTGCTGTTAAATATGTTTCTACCTGATTCATCACCTTTATGTCTCTGCTGCCTCTTCCATCTCCACCCTCAGGACTTAAACCCAATAATATTTATATAGAAAGTGAGCAGTAGTTGCTTATTAAATCAAAATGAATAAGGCTTTGGGTAGTGTTTATAACGTTGTTCGATTGAAAACATTTTAACTCCTAATTCAATATTATTTTATCAAGTATCCAAACAAGAGCTGCTTATCTATGATCTGACAAATAAATTCCAGGGAACTTTTTACCTAACAGCACTACAATTCTTACAAATGTCTACAAAGATCAGTACATATCTGCAGCGGTCAGGCTGCTGACATCAATAGAAAACTTACAATGCTGGATGAATTCCTGTGGGGGCATCTTAAATTTTTGTCAAGTTTTTCTAGGTTTCCAGTGTGAGTTCTTTAGAGGATGGCAGTCCCTAAGGTCTGCTATACCCTGTCATTTATCCCCTGCAGTCTTGGTCAAACAGGTGTTTCCCTTTGCGCTATGGTCTTCAGACTGGGCATGCGTATGTGCCTTTGGGTATAGGCAAAGGCTGCCCAAGGGGCATGTGAATATTCCATGGCCATTTGCACCATTTTGTAGCATTCTTTAAGCTATCCTTTTCCATCTATCCTTTCACTTTACAACATAAAAGAACACTTTTCATCTGGAACAAAGTTTACTGTGGTTCATTACTCAAGTGTTAAACAACTTCCAAATGTCAAACAAGGGACAATGGAAAAACCTCCTTTAAAGATTAGTAAAGGTGCCCTAATCCTACCTTGAGATGTTCTGTTTTCTCTGTCAGACCTCTTAAAGTAAATACATTTGATATGAGGTATTCTAGCTTGTTGGAATGCTCTATGAAGGGTATGGCTGTTAGATCATCTTTTCATTCATACACTAAATAATACATATTAAACAAGTATGATGTGCTCATGGACTCCACATTCACATGGTTATGTGGTCAGTGAAAGACTACACACAAGTATATACACAGAATCTGAGGCCCCTCTTCTCTGACTCTTTTCTTTTTGAGATTTATTTCCTTCACTTTTGGGGAGCTGTAGCTGCCCTAAATTCTGTCTTATATTATTCAAGTCAGTAAAATTGAGAGTTTTCTATCAGAGTTTTACTTGTCCTGGAAAGGGATAAAACCAAGGGAACTCTACTCACAACTATCTCCATTTTAAAGTCTCATCTTCTTTCTAGCATCTCCCTGTCTTGGTCTCTCTCCAGGGTCTTCAGATAATTTCTTTTTATATTTTGTTCAGGGTTTGTAGTTGTTATCTGTGAGAGGTTTTTGCCAGACAGGAGCTACTCAGCCATCACCATTTTATTTTTAATCAATTTCAGATAATGAACCACTGTAATATATACCCTGTAACATCACATGAAAATTATGGTAGTAGGATAATCATATGGGAAAATTTAAATAAAACAATTTTCTTCAAAAAGTGGTCTTATATGATTCAGATATTACAGGATATGTAGCTCAATAACAGTCCATCTACATTTCAGGAGTAATCTTTTTCCCCCAATTTATCTATTTAGTTGTAATACTTTTTTTTTTTTGAGACACTTCCTGCCTTCATGATTTGTAGTTTATGTTAATGCCTTTCTGGTCTTGAGATAATCCTCAAATAAAATATTTAAAAATATAGTTGCCTGTAAACATCGTAGTTAAATTTTGATAGTATACTTGCTTTCACCTCGTAACAATAGTTCACATTTTTAAATTATTTACACTGCATGCAAATCATCCAGAACTTTTCAAAACCCTTGAACCTATTACATGTAAAATCCATAAGCACTTTTTCTCATAAAGAAGAGATGCAAGGCTTATTTATCAGCCAAATTCAATTACATGTGACACTAAGAAGGATGCTCGCCACTGAAGTCCTATTTATGTATGCAATTGAATACTTTTTCTGCAATGGCCATCTTTACATGGGGTTCATTTAAAAGCATGTCCTTTTCTGCTCCCCTTATCATTTCAATTAAAAGAAAATAAGTTTTGTCTGAATCAAATATACTCAGAGTCCCTTCTTTCCACCCCTCCATCCCAAACTGTATTTCCTCAGAAAAAGAGCAATTACAGAGAAAACAAACAAACACACAAACAAAAAAATGATGGAAAGGGTCCCACTTCATGGGGTCATCACACAAGTTTCGTTTTTCACCAGTCAGCCTTTGTCCATGAGAAATAATTTGAGACTCTGATTCAGAAGTTGTGGTGTGGGGCTTGAGATTCTGCATTTCTTATTTATTTATTTAAGCATAATAATCTTTTAATTTTATTTTTTAGTTTTTTAAATTTCTCCTTTTATTACAGATACAGAAGATACATATACACCATGGAATACCATGCAGACATAAGAAAGAATGAGATCATATCCTTTGCAGCAACATAAATGCATCTGGAGGCCATTATCTTAAATTTATGAATGCAAGAACAGGAAAACATGTATCACATGTTCTCTGTTACAAGTGAGAGTTAAACATTGATCACACAAGGACATAAACATGGAAACAACAGGGACTGGGGACTACTAGAGGCAAGAGGGAGAGAGGAAGGTATGTGTTGAAAAACCAGTTATTGGGTACTATGCTCACTACCTGAGTGACAGGACCTGTACCCCAAACCTCAACTCCACGCAAGATGCCCATGTAAAAGCCTACATGAGATTCTGCATCTCTAACCGAAGCCCAGGTGATGCTGATGCAGACCACATCTTGGAAGAATTTAGGGTTCAGAGAGAGTCTCCTCAGTACTTGTTGCAGTGAATTTACTGCAACTCCTGTTGTTGTAAACTCCTGTTGCAGTAAACTCACAACCCAATGAGAAACATCCTGACTTTGATTCACATATATTTTAAAACCTCATAAGGAGGAATTACAGGCCTTTTTGTCAAAATACCAGTTCAGTTGATAAACTAAGGGACAAAAAGACCCTCGGCTCACCTGGAAAACTGTCAACCTGTACAGTCTTTAAAGCCAGCTGAATGAAGTAGAAACTTCATCAGAAAGTCTAGCAGTAAGCAGCTTTGTAGGAAAATACTGCAATCTTTCTCCAGAGGAATTTAAGGATGCAACATTTTCAATTAAAAGTGAGTCTGTTATGCAATCTTGAGATGATTCCTGATAAAGCCTCAGAGAAAATGAGTTTGAGTTTATGGAACTGTGTGGTTGTGATTTGGTGTGTTTAGGAAAAGAATTAAAAACAAACACTGGAGAAAAAAGTCTCATCTGAGATAAATACAGCAGGAGATGATCCTGAAATTGGCAAAGGAAGCACTTTGGAAGTATTAAGAAGACAATACCAGGGCAAACAGAAGTGTAGGCTCTACACAATTCTGATTAAAAAACAAAACAACAACAACAACAACAAAGAAATGTGATAGGGGAATAAAAGTTAACCACTTAGTACTCTTAGGGTTTTTTCTCTATATGGTATAGTGAGAGTCTTATATCACTCTTCATTAGGGATGCTCAAGCCACCACTTATTTAGCTGTATATTTTCAGACCACAGCCCTTCAGGTTATTTGTTATTTACAAGCCTCTACATATGTGTATTCTACTTTTATGCTTAGTCCCTTTTAGATTTAAGCAGTGTTTTACAAGTGCCCTGAGTTTCACACCTCCTGTGCTGTATCACACAGAAATGAACAAGGTGCCACAGTTAGTAATTGACAGGTGATAAAGCCCTAATGATAAAGCTAACAACGATAATACAAATAATGACAGCTGATTTTTGAGAGTTGTGTGTCAGATGACGTTTTGTGGACTTTAGGCATATTAGCTTATTTTTCACAGACAGCTTTATGAGAAAGGTACTATTATGATCTCCATTTTATACATTAGGAAAGCAAGGCACAGTTAGGTTAAGTAACTTACTCAATATTAAAGATTCATCTGTTAAGTAGAAGAGCGAGGACTTAGATCCTGAAGTTCAGCAAGAACAATGATGTAATCTGGAGTAATCCAGCTAAGCACAACAAATATCAAATCGAGTGTCACTTCACAACGTTCCAGCAATGATCCAACATACCCTAACGGAGTGTGCAAACCTCTACCATCTCAATTGGAAGCTCTTTGACAATAAAAACAAATATATAACAAATTCTGCACTAAGTTCATGACAGCCTTCTCAAAGCAGGGGAAGCTAACTGCAAATTTTGAGATGAAGACTTTCTGTGTAAAACATGTCACAAGATACCATTTGTAAGTCACTGATTTCATGTGTAGAGGTACCACCAAGATCGGCCAAATGAAAGAAACTGGAGATTGGGTATATGTTTATATCCACTTTAGGAAGAGATTCTCCTTCAAATCCGTATGAGAAAGCATCCAATTATAAATAATAACTTTAAAAAGGAATAAAGAAATCCTCTATACTTTTCTGCACCATGTGACCTTGGTTAAAAGACCATTTATTGGTTTTGACATATAAGTAAACTGAAGTAGCATAGATGACCAGGGTAGGATACTTCATTCCATTACCACATCTTGGCATTACTGTCTCTGCATTGTCCTTCAAATGCATCATACACTTTCGTTCCCAATCTAGTTTTTTCCATAAGCTACTGAAATAGATCATTTCAATCTGGTTTTATTTACCATTGACCTCTCATCTCAAAAACTCTGCTATCTCGGTTACCTCTGTCACATTTACATACTGTCCCTTGCACCAGCCTCCCTTGGGCTGGGCAGGAGTCCAGTTTCCACCCTGGGTTTTGTCTTCTCTAGTGTCTTGGCTCTGAGCATCCATTCTAAGCTAATCTTCCTGTGACTACCTAAGAAGAAGCTCCTACACAGCCTGGTGGCTCAATCGTTCTGAAAAAATAAAGGTTAGAAGACATTCATGTTGCTTTCCAGAACTTGGAACTCATTTGACTTTACTTATATAAGAGGCTATAGAAAATAGGACTCGATTGTTTCAGTTTCTGAGGTGCAAAGTGCTCAGGTTTCCAGTAAAAACTAATCTCTCTGCATTGTGCCTTTCAGAACCAGATAAAAAAAATTAGAGAGAAATTTATTTCTAAAAAATGACAAGTATCCTGCTAGCTTCCTTTAGATGCAGCAAGAACAATGCTTTTAATTCTGCCTCCTGACTTTCTACATGAAGCTCATCGAATGAGCAGATAGAACAAAAAAAAAAAATAACATTTCAGATATTATGGAAATGAAATGCTCAAATGACACAAATAACAATGGGCAATTTTCACATCACTCAATAAACTGAGGATGTATTCAGCCCCTCTTTATGCCATGAGTTATTTTGAGTTTAACTTTTTTTAAAAAAAGAACATGGAAGGAATAAGATTCTCACCCTTGGCCATTCAGGAGATAATATAACTTTCCAAAAACTACCCAGGGAAGAAACTACTTTAATGGGAAAAGGACCACAAATCCACAGGGATTCTCCACTGACAGTGAGGACAGGGCATTTTGTGTGTGTGTGTGTGTGTGTGTGTGTGTGTGTGTGTGTGTTTTCCTTACCCTCAACAAAATAATAACCAAAGAAAAACCTTATAGAAATAGTGTGACAACATTTGGGATAAGGCAAACTTCCTCTTCAAAAAATAACTTTTTAATATATCCCCATGGGCATTGGTGAGGAAAATCATTGCTGATTCAGTGACCCTGAATTGGTCCAAAATGAAAACAAACAAACAACAACAACAAACACACAAAACCCACCCCTCTGTCTGTCTTTAGTTTGCTTAAGAATAAACTGTCTTTAAAAATTATGTATTGTGGGTTTTTTTTGAAGAAAACATATGCCCGAATTACTGACAGATGACATGCTGATAGATACGCTTTTCTTTATTTATAACTGTGGTTGTCGTTCTCATATTAGTTGCAATTTCAATAAATATTTGTAGGTTGACAATGTTCAATAACTTCTCTTTCCCCAAATTTTTTTTTGGCTGCTTTTCTTTGTCTCTTCTTCTTCTTCTTCTTCTTTTTTCCCCTTGTCTCTACTTTTCTTGGCTAGGGAGGACCTTAATCTAATGTATTCTGGAGTGTCAGTTTTTCAAGAAAAATTCAGTATTTAAAATAATTTATTTCAAGTAATTTTAAATATATGATTCTTCATGTGACTTAGTAATGTTGATGACATGATTCTCAGCCTTTGGATACTATTTTGCCTGTATCCTTAGAAGTGAAGAATTCTATCCTAGAAAAGATGGGTCTTGAAAATAGCAATAAAATCTTTCCTAGTTCTTGTTTATCCCCTTCATAATGAAATGTATTACAATGGGGAAAACTGCTTTCATGATAACTGAATTTACAGTTTCAACTGTAATCTACTTTAATAATCTTTTGGATGAGAAAAGATACTCAAGAAATTGGACTTCTATGACAGAATATGGATTTTCAAGGTGAAATACAATACAAATTTCACCATGTGTGTTCCTGTTGGTGGTGGCACATAAGCAGTTTCAAGGATGAATAATGTATAAAACATGTCTTCTTGAGAATTATTTCCTTCCCTTTCTTAAACTGATTTTCCCATGCCTAGAGAGAGCAACCCTATGTTGCTTGTATATGGAGGATTAGATAAGAGATCTAACAAAACTCTCATTGGAAAACGACTGTGTTAAAATAGAGAAAGTGCTTAAAAACAAATAGCCTAGTTTATTTCCTCTGGGTGAAGTGTATGCTTCACAATCTACAGACATGAATTAAGTTTTGTCATTGTAGTTATTTTGTTTTAGTCTATGCTGTTTATATGTATTTGAGGAGGGACATGTGTTTCCAAATTTTCTCTTATGGAAGAAACAGACATTTGAAAATATGCAAGAGGCACAGTGTGTTCTCACATATGATATTGCCCCATTGATCATTGTAAGTGGCTTGTTATTGGTGGCTTGTTTTCATTTTGTCTAACTTCAGAGGGAAATGGGCCCTTTTAGGCATATAGAGAAAAATATCCAAGTTTTTTGCCTCTTTGTTTTCTGTAGAAAAAAAAAAACAGTTTGAAAGAGGTAAAAATGTGACCAAACCCCATATGTGTGGTTGCAAGACTCACAAAGCTATTTCCATGTGAGACTTGGCTCATTGTGAGGGATCATGAAGGGGATGTCACAGATATGTTTCCAAAATAGTATAAATTCATTTCAGCCTGAGGGCTAAAAGTTACATTTTTGGTGGTCAATAAGTACTTGATTGATGGGATAAAATTCTATCTTTAAAATGTTTTATTGTTTTTCCTTAGGAAGTTTGCTCTCATATAGCTAAAACCAGCAAGTCTGTTAGGTTAAAAATACATTGGAAGAACCAGGTGCTAGTCATGTCATAAAGATAAGCTTCTTTCCTTTCTTTCAAACATACTTTAAGAATGCCTAGTGTGTTTGGGTGAATCAATCTCACTCCTCTATACACAGAAGAAAGTTTCCTGTTAATTTCTCTGGCTCCCTAAATCTCACACTCATATTCTCCTAGGAAATCAGGTGCCTAGTGGCAGAGCCAGGTCCCTAGACACCTGCTTATGGGGTTTATTAAAGGTTACTAGGTGATACAGGAGCTGCAGGGCATATGTGTTTTGACTTAGTGGTGGCTGGGGGACAGCCTATGTGCTGTGTCTGGCAGAGTCCCTGGGCATGTCTACCCCTAAAAAGCCTACGAAAGTGGAAACATCTAGCAATGACAATAATGAGACTGCCAAGAGCAATTAATAGAGTAACAGATTTGTTGGAAAAGTCAAGTACAGAGACCTAGGGAGTTAGTCATAAGGTGAGAGTTGACAGCAACCTTGTGAGCAATCACTTGTAATATTAGGCCCTTGGGAGTTTTGAAAAGCTTTATGCTTCTTTGGGCTCCAGGACAACCGCTGGGAAGTGAGCAGAGCAGTTTTTGTTATTCTCATTAGATGCATAAAGCTACATGGTTTCTATAATTTAGTAGCAAACTCAGAAAAAAACCTGAATTTTGACTATTTCAGGAAGATAGGTTGAACAAGATCTCACAGTGGATAAGAAGTCCCTTTTACATTTACAGATGGGAGACAGGGAGATATGGGTGTGAGACTCCCAAAAAAAGAAGAGAAAGAGTCTATTCAAGAATTATGATACTTCGTAATGTGACTGAGCATGCTCCCAGATCAATGTAGTTGATTATTCAAAAACGGAAGCCTCATTTCTTGGCCTGCTCCGTACAGAGAGTAACTTTCCTACGGTTTCTACTCTTAATGGGAAATGGAGAGCCAAAATGTGACTGTTTTCTGCAGAGAGATTCTTAGTTAATTGCTTCTACCTCTGTTTTCACCTCAGTGGGGTTCAGCTTCCCTAATTAACTGTAGTGGGCATGTCTGGTTATAGGCGGCGATCACTTCGGAATGGCTGAGCCCATTTCTTTAAGAACACATCTTTCTAGGACAATAAATAAAGACAATCAACAGCACCAAGTGGTAAAGAAGAGAGGTTGGCTGCTGTGTGAGATAGGTCTGGATTTGAATCCCATCTCTAAGTACTCATGCTACGGAGGACACTTACTCTCACCGAGCCTCGGTTTCCCCAGCTTTAAAAATGGGGATAATTCCATCCATTGCTCGGATATTGCAAAGATTAAATTAGAGATAAATTTTCTTTAAATCAATTGACATTAAAAAGGAAAATTCATCAAGATAAACACACTTGGTCCCATTATTCTGCAGGTAAGACTGGACTTTGTCTCTGATAACAGATGCCATGGTTTTAAAAGATAGATTATAATGTCTCTCTGCATATATTCATACCACAAAAATTATTAACACTCTGGAGCCATTAGAAGCCAAATTAAGCTGCTTTCCCACGCCACGCCACTGTCACACAGGATGCATGCTCTGGGCAGATTTCACGCATTTTAGTTATTGGGTTGGCAGAATTGTCAAAAGCCAGTTTTGAAAGATGAGGCTATCTACAGATGTTTGCATAACACAGTTAAGCAGAGAAACAAAAATGAAAATATCCCTTGGCCCTTCACTGTGAGCTAGATAGCTTCTATTTGTGCTTCCAGATGCACTTTCCATCCTGCTCCCACTGCCCTGGGCCCACAGAAATAAATCTGTACATCTCCAGCAGGGCTGCCTTGCCCTCTGGTTTCTGGTTGAGCTCAGCTATGGGGACCATCAGTAGAGACTGGAATATGAGAGTGAGTGAACAAGGGATATTTATTTCTCCACTTCCTTTTGTGGGGTTGCCATAGGCTGGCCGTGTCCTAAGACAGAAGTCTTCAGTTTCCGCAGGGCCTCCTTTACCACACCACCTCTCTGTCTTCGGGTTCATATACCTTTCCCTCCACTTGTCCATTCAGGCCTGGGGTGATAATAGTCCCTACTGTTACTAGATTCCAGCGTATTGTCTCCACATTTGCATTAGGATAAAACATATGGATTCACCAATTTTGCAGAACAAAAATTATCAAATATTCCTAATTTCATACTCAATCTAATAAACAGTTATATCATTAAACTATTTTGAATCATTCAATTAAAGTGCAGTCCATTAACAAATAAGGAAAAGATTTGTTGTTAAAATTAAGGAAAGCAGGTTTGCAAAGGAGAAAGCAGAGAAGTACTTGGGGACTTTTTGGGATGAAAATATTTACTGAGGGCAAAATAACTATTAAATAATAGAGGCTGCAATTATAAATTATTTAAACAGTGGATTGATAAATAAAAATTTCTGTAAAGTAAATGGTTACTTGGTATCACAGCACCAAAGTGATTTGATTTTTAAAAAATTAATCTGGTAGATGTGGAAAACTAATCAACCAGTTTGGTGTTACTAAGCCCTCACTGATTTACAGAGACACATGTGACAATGCAAAGGAAAGAACAAAAACTGAGAGTAAGGAGACCTGAATTTGAGTGCCTGCTCCCCGCTCCAATCAGTTATATGATTTGAGGCAAATTGCTTTGCCTTTTTATCCTCAAGTTTCTGATCTGTAAAATGAGGAGTCAGGGATAAATAACCTCCAAAATCCTTTTTAGTTCTGGTTTTTGTTAGTTTGTAATACCAGGGACTGATATCAATGAAAAAGCAGAGCCTCAAGGTGCTCCTCCTCTGTCCTCCCCTGCCAGTTTATTTGCTTCATCCAGTAGTTGGCTGATGATTTCCAAACTTGGCAGCACAGAAGAAATATCCAGGGTATATTCCTCGGCTCCACCTCATACCTACTGACTCTCTAGTACCATGTGGACAGTAGCTATTTCATATTTATGAAATCTCCCCTGTTGATTCTGAAGTGCAGCCAGGATTGGAAATCACTGTGAAAAACAGTATCTTGAGTATAAAGAGAGAAGACTGATGACAAATATGGGTTATTCTGAACAACTCTCAGGACAATTCTGGTAGGAAAAATCCAGAATGGTTCTCAGTAATGGAGCTAAATGATTTCAGCTCTCCTGTTCTCTATAGTACTCAAATAGAAGGAGGACAGTCACCATATTTGCTTGTTGCAATTGTGCATGTGGGCATGAGTTTCAGAGATGTATGTCCTGTTGCCCTAACTTTTGCATTTCCTGTGTCATTATAAACCTTTTCCAAAGCATAATGACACAAAACATGATCATATTTATATGGTTCATTAGCAAAAGGGAATAGCTACTCATAGGAGAGATGACTGGGCCAAGCCCAACTTGGCAACAGAATGAAGAGGGGATCAATATCTAGGCACACCTGTAACCATTTGTGGCACACTAGAATCACGGGGAAGCACTGCCTTAGTGTACCTAGTATCATCTATGTTCACAAGAGGTGCTCAATACATTTGTCATAAATGTTAATAAATTACTGGTTAGTCTTAGAAATGCATGGTTTGGGCCGGGTGTGGTGGCTCACACCTGTAATCCCAGCATTTTGGGAGGCCGAGGCAGGCAGATCACGAAGTCAGGAGTTCAAGATCAGCCTGGCCAATATGGTGAAACCCCGTTTCTACTAAAAATACAAAAAAATTAGCCGGGCATGGTGTCGCATGCCTGTAATCCCAGCTACTCAGGAGGCTGAGGCAGGAGAATTGCTTGAACCCGGGAGGCGGAGGTTGCAGTGAGCTGAGATCCCACCACTGCACTCCAGCCTGGGCAACAGAGTGAGACTCTATCTAAAAAAAAAAAAAAAAAAATATATATATATATATATATGTATATATATATATATATATGGTTTGTTGTATGATTCTTATCTGCTATAATTTCTTACAGAAACTACATAGAAATGATATGCCTCACAAAATGCAAAACTCGACGGTAGAAGTAAATATGATTACACATGTAAACAGCTGCTTAAGTCCAACATGAACACCATGTTCACTATTTACAGGTACTATATCCTTTAAAATAAAAGTAAAAACAAAACTATGCAGTACTTACCGGGTCCCTTCGCACGAGCTCTCCATTGGGTACTACTTCAACCAGGTGGATGATGATAATCATAGAATTCAGAATGTAAGTAAGAAACATGTTCTTGTGCAGGGTTACCCTTTGGCAGCCAAGGCTCCTGGAAGAAAAAGTAACATAAAGCATTAACCAGTGCCAAAATGTTGGAGTACCTGGAAAAAAACATTTTGGTAATATTTTTCATATTTTCTTTAAAAAAAAGATGAAAGAACATATAGAAGAAAGTAAGGCTGGTCTCCTCTTTCAGATTTATTCCTACTTTTCTGCCTGATTTTAAAAAACATGTTTCCAAACATAGCAGGTCATAGTTTTCAGTCCTCAGGGTGACTTCATAAAATAACTGAAAGAGTGGGTGATAAAATCTCTTTTAATTATAACAAATGTTGTAAAATTAGTTAACAGAAGGACTCTTAGATTAGCAACTATTAGGGTCTGCAGTGTGCTTCAAATGAAAAGCCTACTGTTCATTGTTGCAACCAGGAAGAAAATATGTGGCCAGTGAGGTCACAGAGCGTGAAGTCAGAACCAAGGCTGCCTGTGACAAGGTACTGAATCTATGTCCTTGAGCCATTGCATACACACACTTCACGTCTCCTGGCATCCTCCTCTTCCATCATTTCTGTTACCATCTTCTTAGATCTTATATTTCAACTAGAATCATCACTGTAGTTCCTCTTTTCCAACCCTCCTGATGGTGGAGCTCAGACACAGGCAGAGAATTCTTAATAGGCTCAAATGAAATCTCATTATGAGGCATACTGTGATTTGGATCCAATGAGAGCTATCCAAGTGCTGCTGCTTCTTGGTAGAGTCATTCCCCACCTTTTGTGTATTAAGCAATTTATTGGGGCTTTTATTCTTTTCTCTCCAGTTCATAAAGTTGTACATATGTGTTGGTGTGAATGTTCACATAAATAAACATTAATTTGAATATCCTATTTCATTTTTTGATGCAATAGAGAGAGCCTACATCATGGCTATAACAAAATTGCGGTGATTATTCTAGACAAATGAAAATCTTATATTTATCATATTTGATAAGGCAAAAAATATTAGTATAATGTCATTCACCATGTGAGAGCGTAAAACATGCCAATGACTCATAACACTAACTATTCCTAAAAATATCTTCATGGAATAAAGTTAGAAATGAAGAATTTTGAAAAGGAAATTCTGGGGAAAGATGAAATACAAAAATAGCCTGGGTTTACTTACAATGCCTTCCTATATTTCCAATTCAAAGGAAAAATAGTTGTCAATTTTCTGCAATAAAAAGCAATTTAAGTAATAAAGGCAGCTGTTAGAGCATATTTTAACTATTATAGTTACAGTTTTCAACTTTTCGGGAAGCGATTATAGTAACTCATTAATAAATAATATTTTTAAAAATTTAACTTGTTAAACAGGTATAGGATGTAGAATTTACATCCATGAGGCAGGCTCTGATAAAGACAGGATTTAGAGAAGAGCTTTCTCTTACACACACGCTTCTGTGGACTACTCTATTCAGCAGTACAGAAGTCTGTTAAATAAATCAAACCCAACTGGTTTTATAATAGCACTAAAGGTAGGTTGCAAATTTAAATTTAAACAAAAAAATTACTTATGTGAAACCTCATGCTCGTTTATACTGAATAAACTTCCATCTGGTGACTGCTGCAATCAGCACAGTTGAATCTGTGACCTGCCATCCTTCATAGTCACAACAGCAATTTATAATTCTCACTAGCAGTTAATTATGGGATTCATTGTTTAATTCAGCCTGGCTTAGACCAATGATAATTGACATTATCTAGAACTAAGGAGTATGAATGAATGTATCATACAGCAATGATATTCTTAAGCCTGGTTTTCTTTTGATTGGGGAGTGTTCAATAATCTGCTGTTGTACATTAGCTTAAATGACTTCATTAACTTCATTCTCTTGTGTAAACCCAAGCCACCCTGAATAAAATATACTTCCTCTACCTCCAGCTTACTCTTTTGTGTGCCTGCTCTACTTTTCTTCTTAACACTTATCACCTGCTGACACAGTATATATTTATTTATTGCCTGTTATTCTCTCCTTTCCTCCCACTAAAATGAAAGTGCTAAAGGAATTTATTTTATACATCTAGAACACTCTCTGACACATCATTGGGCTTAATACCCATTTTTTTTTAAATTTAAAAATGTATTTAAGAAAAATGTTCTGTTTTGAGCTGTGACCACTAAGCAATTTTCCAGTACACCAAAGAATTACATTAAATGCTAGATGATTTCCTACTTTATACTTCATATCATACTGAACATTTGCCAAATTCTTCAGTTTCGTATTAACTAGCTAACATGGAACATTATCCTGTTGTTCAACACTAGTTAAAAATGAATATATCATACAGCATATATGCATATAAACAGTATATATATATTTAGATAGATACAGTACATATAAAGAGTACTGTATCTCTCTATATAAAAATATATATATTTTTCATTGGAAACACAGAGAAAATGATAGTTTAAAACTAGATAAACTGCTAGCCTCCAAAGGAGAAGTATGACTAATATATGAGTTTCTGTTTTTTGAAAGTTTTAATATAATTTTTGCTCATTGAGTTTTAAAATTTGTATTATACTAACTTGATGACATTTACAGTCATCTTTTTGAAGTGAGTCGAAGGTATTGCAAATTTTTCAAAATTCATTCAATAATCCAAAATATATGATTGTGCACTCATTATGATCCAGACCTGGTAGATATCAGGAATATAACAGAGGACAAACAGGCGCTCTTGCCTTCAGGGCCCTTATATACTATGCCATTTTTAATTTAATTTTACTGTGATAATTGTTCTGAAGAAGAGGTGTGGGATGCTAGAGAGAATTAATTGAAATTAACATTAAAAATCCTCAGTACAAATACGTCGCTTAAATGAACATGAGAGAAGCCGACAACATTTTTTTGTCAGATCTGAGATGTCTTAGGTAGAAATAGCACTAACTTGACACTGGCTATATTCTATTCCCTTTATGAAAAAAACAGACATTTAGATGGACAGAACATTGCTTATTATTTGAGTGATGGGAAACCATAAGTACCATAAATTCTCCAGTAGTAGGAGGATGAGACAACATAATTTACTTCTACAACATAATCTACCAATCAAGGTGTCATTCAAATGTGAGAAAGAGATAATGATTTACTTGAGTATGAATCTCAAGATGTCACATTTTAAGGCTAAAGCAAAAAGTCATTTTCATGGTTATAGTTCATCTGGTGTAAATCTTTCACATTTGTTTCAAGTTATTAGTACCCTACGTGTGTGTGAGTGTGTACTTTTTGGGAGCTTGTAGTTGTATGAGACGGCATTTGATATTGGTCTTGAGTTTTGCCAGTTGACTAAATCAGTTTGCTATCACAGGGTGAGAAACAGCAGTATTTTCTCCTGTATATCTCCTATGTAAGACAGTGTAATTATAGTCACATTCAAAGCAAACAAAGTAGCAAAAAGAAAACAAGTAAAAGTTGTTTTGAAGTTACTGGTGCATGGGAAAATATGAATTAGGAATCATTTCTGTAATTGGTACAAGCCCAAGTCATATCTTCTAGTGTAACTTTTAGTTTTCATTTACCTAGGATCACGTGTTATTCATGATAAACATGAGAACTGAAAAAAAGAGAGAAAATGAAGTAAAATGGATTGCATTAAAACTCCTGGGAAAATTCAAATACAATATATTATATATCTTCCCTATTTGACAAGAGACTTTATGCCTTTTGATTTAGCACAAAATCCTTATCATTAATAAATTCTCTTTCAATCAAAATTCTTGCTTTTCCTATTACTACTGTTCTATGGGTGAAGAATATGCCGTGGTATGATCAACAGTTATCTTTGGTGTCTGTCCTGCCAGTGGTGAGTTGGAAGAAAGGAGGCCATCTTTGATACCATTGATTTCATGGTTTCCTTGGAGCAACAGGAAGGCAGCTAGAGATGTATAATGGTGGATACTACACAAGGTACAGATTCACATACCCACCCAATATGTAGAGATGACGTAGAACAAAGAGAATAGTAAGTAGTAGAGCAATCAGTCTTCCCTCAGTATGTTCCACTGGAAGCCACTTTTGTTGACCTCCATGATTACCTATATATGCTTTTTGTCAATGTGGCCAATGTAACGTAATGTAGACAATAAAATGAAGAGACCATCTGTTTTCCAACCTATATTTCTATCAGCTTTCAGGCAAGAATAATATTTAAAATACCAATCAGAAAGACATGGATAACAATGAGTCAAAATAAATGCTAATGAATGGTCTGTTATGCTTTTCATGAAGTGATACAATGAGAGGCTTACATATTTAGGATTATTCCACAGAAAAGTAAATTGATAAATTGTAATTGAAATTTATGGATAAGTAAATTTATTGGAAATTTGCTGAAAATGGTCAAGAATCAAACTGAAATAAATGTCCATTTATGTGTCTTTCCCAAACCAGTCTTCCCTAAGGGTATCTTCATTTTAGCTCTCTTGTTGACACTTACTATTGGAATCTAGCAGTAAGAAATCTTGCTGAACTAATTTGATGTTTATATTTAATCCCTTTCCATAATATCATTCCAATTTTTTCTGCGAAGGTTTTAAACTAAATACCATCCTAATAATGCTGTCTTCTATCTTTAACTGGTGTACCAGAAATGACCTGCATATCATCTTGACTATTATTCAAACTTTTGAACAGTTAAGATTGTTAATGCTGACTTTTCCATGAATTAAACCTGAAAAATCTTGTTTTTTCTACATTTTGTCTTTCTCTAGGAAGAATGCATAGAAGATAAATTTTCTGCTATTAAACTGAAGACTTTATGTACATTTATACATTAATTTTCCAACAGCACAAGGAGCATGATTTCTATTTGCTTAAGTTTACATAATTCCACCTTTTACCTTCCCCTGCATGCTCAGAATAAAATTACATTAAGATTAAAGGCATGCTTTAATAAACTAATTCTGAGTAATATCCCAAGTTTTTAGTGAAGTATTGGCAGTTCCAAAGCCTCTTGTATGATCAGTGACTTTAAATTTCTCTGCAGGCCTCCTAGGAGGCCTGCTCATTTGAGGAGGACAGCTGCAGGGTTCCTCCTTTTTATGAGACACATTTGAGGAGTTCTGAGGGCTTTACAGTGAGATTTCAATGGAATGATTGTGAATGGGGCGTCAGCTCTCAGAAGTGGAGCTGGGTAACTTTTCACTCTGGTTTCCTGAAAGTTTTATAAAATTGTTTGGAGTTTGCAAAATTACTCAACCCTGCGAATATAGAATTAAGTAAGGGAGTGATGATATTTTTTGCTCAGGTTGCACACAGATGATCCCATTTAAGTGCATAAATTATGAAACCTATTGTAATGTGCAGTAAAGATCTTAAAGGTGATGGTGATGTAGAGTATTTGAAAAAAAATTCTGGAAAAAATTTGCTAATTCACAAATAAATTCCAATGATAGATCAGTATTATTTTCTACTTCCACAATCACTTTTAATGTTTCTGAAATTCAAATATAAAAAACATTAAAGGGTTAGGATCATACTTAAATTTTAAGAAGACAGATGCCCTTTATATTTTTAGTTTGGGTAAGGTTTAAGATATGATTGAAAACAAGTATAAAAATTTTATACAGCTTTTTTTGGTTTGAATATTTGGCATCTCAGCATATGTGCTTTTCATATCTCATTTGTCTCTTGTTGTGTCTGCTCTGAAGAACCAGCTATTTCAGTTCATTTCTTCTCATTATTAGGCTCAGATGATAAATCAATAAGACTTGTTTTTCTTCCCCAGATTTAAGTTGCTGTTTAGTTGGTTCTTAGAACTGAGAGACGGTAGGGCAAAGTTGGGTACTTTCTAGACAATCTGCCCCCACACTCTCTCAAGGGTTTGATCAGAATCATTTTGCTTTGGGACTAACTGGAGTTGAGAAATATTCTACTTTGCCCTTGTGCCACACTTTAACACACCCATCTTCAGTAGCTTAATATAGAAATGATCGTTGAAAAAAAAATTCTTAATTTCTTTGCTGATTTGGCTCTCACATCTCCTCACTTATTTAAGTGACTGGAGAAATAAAGAATTAAGATCTATGCCTTTGACATTATTACCTTTAAAGTCCTGACTACAATTAGTTGCATGATTACAAATTTGGGGAATTTTTCTTTCAATTTTTTTATGATTATATTTAAAAAACTTAAAAAATATGCTTTAGTGGCATATTTTAAAATAAAAGTTGTTTGAGAACCATGATGATGTGTTTATTTACCATAATGAAGTGCAATTGAAAAATGAAGACATTCCAAGATTAATCATGTTATGTGATTACTGTATTCTGATCATTATCATTGAAAATACTCTTCTATTCTAATTTGAGTAATTAATACTTCATGTCTTTTTGCTTTATCAGTCTTTCTCCTGTTAAACCATTTATGGAAGGAGCTCATTGTCTGTTTGCTTATGTTATCATTTGCTATCCAGTTAAAAATTGCTGTTCACCTCTATTGCTTAGTCAATATAAGAATCTTGACTAAGATATAGACAAAGATTGAAAAATGATGAAGGAAAAAAATAGTACTTGTACTAAGGATGTATTTACAGGTGATTATTCTCCCCTTGGTTTAATTTTCCTTAGTACTATCCTGACAATATTTTAACAAAAATCAAATTAAGATTCTACTATGTTTTAAATTTATTTTTTGCGGTAAAGTATAGATGTATAATGTACCATCTTTACCATTTTAAACATATAGTTCAGTAGTGATAAATGCATATATATTCTTCTCCCCCCTCATTCTATATGTGAATCACTGTACATTTAATCACATACCACATTTTTTAAGTGTGGATGATTGTTGGTCATCTGAGTCTACAAAAGGGCTTTTCTTTATCATTTCTGTGATACCACCATGACTATTATTACTACCAATAATAATAATAATAATGATATCAAACACATATTTCACTTATTATGTGTCAGACATGAATCCAGGCACCTTACATGTATTATTTCATTTTTACCTAATTTACTTCAGTTTCTAACATTTTTACTGAACCGTGGTGTGTCTAAAAAAAAAATACACATACAGTTTACTCTGAATCTACATTTGTGAACATACTTGAGAAATCCAGCTTAGGACAATGTTATGAGTGCTTTATTTTCACTAAAGTTGGTTGTGATGAAAGCATATGTAACAGTTTCTAACTTAAATGTACCATTCCTGTAAAGATCCTATTTTATATTCATGTAAGATGACAAGATAATTTAAAGTATTCAAGTTTTCCTTGTATGTTTTCTCATATTTTGCTTTCAAGCATAATTGTGCACCATAAAACCTAAAGACAAGCATTATTTAAATTAGGTTTTGTAGAAACATGCTCTGATGTGCTTGTTTATTCCTTAGTCTTACATATGCTAGCAAGAAATAATTAGGCAGGGTATATATGGATTTGTGGCTATGGTCTCCAAAAATTAGAGTGGGAGTAAAAGAAGGTGGAGAATCCTCTCCACCACCCTTAATGGTAACTTACCCATGGTAAATGGAACCTTTACCATATTACAACAGTATACTTATGGATTCACAGGACTGTCTTATTTTGGGAAGTCTCAAGATATAGTACTTTTGAAAATGATATAAATTTATCCTGTTCTCCCCAAAGATAGGATTAAAAGCATATTTAAATTCATTTCATTTTTCTTGCTACTTCATGACTCCTAATGTTGCATGTCGCTTGTAATTTGCTGAAGACCCTTCCCCACCTCCACTCTTGCAGAATTCACCATTCGTTTCAGTAACTTAAAGGAGGAAATAAAGAGCAGATGCTGTGAGTGTACTTACCTGAAAAACACGAAAATCCCCAGGGAAATCACTAGGGTGAAAATTGACAAAGAATGACCCACAATAGCCAAATAGTACAGAACATATGCATTCTGGAACAACAAAAAGTAAACAAACAAACAATGAATGAATGATTCATCAGAGAGAAAATCATTTCTATTTCTAAATATATGTAAATCAACAAATGTTTTCCTCCTTTTAAAAACCTACTACAATTATAACAAATATTTCAGATAGTGAAATTAATTTTTAGCTTTACTCATGTCATTTTATGAAAATAAATTGTCATTTTCAAAGAATAAAGTTCCTTGAGATGAAGTACCTCATTCAAAAATATATTTCAGAAGTAGCTTTAAATGCATTAAAAATTATCATCCCTAAGCCCAGTAAGCAATCCTGGTAGTTTTTTAACTTCTGGAATCTTTTAGACAGTGGATACATAATTCTATACCACAGAACTGGCAAAGCAGTAATCGACTTTCCAAGCTGTCCTGACCTACAGAGGGTCCAGAGAGTATGGTGGCAGGTTTCTGTGCCTTTGTTTAAAATGATATCATTAGTATTTAGTTGGTTGAAGCCGAAACCTTTCCCCTTGGCAGCCATTTGATAATTCTTTTTTTTTTTCACGATCATGGTTAATTTTATTTATTCTCCCATAATGTTATGTTGACTCGGAAGAATGTCCTTCTCATAAAATGCATAATGTCATAGCATCTTTTTTCCTAGTAATCACAGTCTTTCCTTTCCTTATAATGTAATTTTATCAACAGAGAAAATAGAGATTGATCCAGTCACCCATCCCTCTCTCTGTCTTCTCTGTCTCTCTGTTTCTCTTTATCTGTTTCTGTGTTTCTGGTCTCTCTCTCTCTCTTTCTCTCTCTTTCACTCTATTTTGACACTAGCTTTTGCATTTTGTACTATTTAGCCAATTTCATCAGCTGTAATTGAAGTAGACTTGAATCTTTTGCAACTAGGGATTTTGTTTTCACTTGTTTTTCTTGGTGAAGCATAATTTGTGTATTATTTTGTAGTTGTACTTTAATCTCTTGGCTTTTGGTCTTAAGTTCCTTCAACAGTTTGTTGGGTCTTGGTATGAATGCAAATGTAGTGTAGATAGGATGAATACCTTCTATGAAGTTCTTTGAATTCCTGGAATAAATGTAGAATTTATATATCCTTGAACATTTTGATTCTTGTCAATTTCCTCAGAAAGAGTCTGGGATTGAAGCCCTAGTCAGCTAAAATGCATCCAAACTATTCAGAGCCCTTTCTTGGTTATGTGCATTATTGTTATCCTGAAATGAACATTCCTTTTCTAGGCCTTAGAATTTCAAAATGGACTAATTAGCTTCTCCTAAGTTGTGCCTGTTGCATCATTTGACCAGGCATTCCATATTTTTGGGGCATTTTCATTGTTGATACCACTCTCTTAATAGCACATTTTACTCTTACAGGAAATGTTAATAAAGTTAGAATAGTTGGTTTATAATTGGAGCTGATAAAATCTTCAGGTAGCTTTCTTGGGAGGGATTTAGGAATCTTATACACACACACACACACACACACACACTCACCTATCTTTTCTCCCAGGAATTCATTTTCTGGCTATTTTTCTAACTTCACTTGTAGACAATATCAGGAGGAGCATTTTCTAAAAGTTCTTCCTTCTAAATAGTTTACTATGTAGAACACTCTTGCCCCTTAATTAATTTGGATATGTATCTGCACCCCCTCTTCTGTCGGTCTTTTAAAAAATCTTTGCATACTTTATTTCTAAGAAAAATTTATATAACTTAATTCATATTCTTTTCAGTTGCTTCCAGAGTACTCCTTTTAAAAACATTTGTTCTTCTGAAATAGAGTTGTCTAAATGTGTAAGATTAAATCAACAACTCATAATTTAGTTGCCATCCTTGTGTCATTCTCAAGGTTGACTTTTTTTTTAATGAATTCTAGGTTGGTTCCTTCAAATTTTAATGTGACTATATTTATATGGAAGATTTGTGGAAAGCATTTTATTTTTTTATTTTTATTTTTATTTTTTCAATATTTTATTTTATTTTATTGTTAATTATTATACTTTAAGTTTTAGGGTACATGTGCACAATGTGCAGGTTAGTTACATATGTACACATGTGACATGCTGGTGCGCTGCACCCACTAACTTGTCATCTAGCATTAGGTATATCTCCCAATGCTATCCCTCACCCCTCCCCCCACCCCACAACAGTCCCCAGAGTGTGATGTTCCCCTTCCTGTGTCCATGTGTTCTCATTGTTCAATTCCCACCTATGAGTGAGAATATGCGGTGTTTGGTTTTTTGTTCTTGCGATAGTTTACTGAGAATGTGAAAAGCATTTTAATCATTATACTAAGTGCCTAGAGAGTAGCATTTCTTCTTTAAATTATTTCATTCTTAGATGTGGCCAGTGTACGTGAGAAGTCCAAAAACAACACTAAGAATGATTTGGACTTGCACTACTTACAACAATCTGGTTAACATGAGTATAATTTTTCTCTGTAACATCATAATCAACACTCATTCGGAAAATTCACTACTCTGTGACATAGCTTATTAATCAGACTTTATTAACAGCTCTCCATTAGGGTGTAGACATGCATCTGATTCTCAGGGTGACTAAACCATTTGTAAAGAGATAACTGGCTGTGGTGCCCTTAGCTTGTGCTTGTGATGAGGTGTCCCTCCTATTCAAGTGGTCCCTAAGCCATATGTTCATCTCGTTTGTTTTTGTTATTTGTTTTGTTTTTAATAAAAGAAAACTTTTCTACACCCTGAAAGCATCTCAACAGCAAACAAAGACACTAATGTGCTTTTAGTTTTCAACTGAATAATTATTTAGTATACAGGCCTATCTTTGACAGAAATAATAGGTTTATGTTAGAGTCAGCAGGGTTGCTTAGAGACGCCCTGCACAGCTAAACATTGACCAACTGTAACTCCTTGTTCTGTAGGGTGAGGAGGCTGGTTGTAGACTTGGTGAATTTTTCAGATTTTTGATACATTTGAGGAAGAAAGATCATCTGTTCCCCACTCGCCATTTGCTTAGATAAATGTTTCTAAGCAGAGATAATATTCAAAATATTTAACATACAGTAAAATGCAAGTACTAACAATTGAGAATGAACTTCCACTGAAAATAATCTAAGCAGCCATATCTGTATTAGTGGACTGATGAGATGCCCTACTTTAGGAGTTCTTTCTATGCTTTATTACAAAACTAAGGTTGTGGCTAACACAGGGGAAGCATGCTATCTTGTGACTTGTGGAAAAATCTGTAGTTTTGAAACTCTTCCAGGAAAAGAGATGTTAGAGAGTCCCTTGAAATGTTGCCTAATTTCTGGCATCATTGGGAATCCTTTCATCTGCTCTATGGACACTTATCCCCCTGCCATAAATGGACTGATTCTGTATGCTCACGGAACTTCAATTGACTCTTGACTCTGAGTGCCAACCAAGAAGTGAAATGTCATTTTCTCTAATTCTACTCTAGAGATTCCTAGAACTTACCAGTTATCATATGATTTCTTTCCACAAAACCTGTTGGCTTCTTTGTGGCAGATATTTTACAGTTATGCGTCCATTTCCTTGTACAAATAATGACATTCTCACTCAATACTGAAACGTGAAAAAGAACCTACCTTCAGTTTCTCAGGAGTGAAAGCATTGCACATAGTATAGTTGGACCAGGTTCGATTGTTTTCAGGATGTTTAAACCAAACACCTTTTTCATCACAGTATTTTGTAACCTTTTCTGTTAATG
Source organism: Homo sapiens (assembly GCF_000001405.40). Lineage (NCBI taxonomy): Eukaryota > Metazoa > Chordata > Mammalia > Primates > Hominidae > Homo > Homo sapiens. The sequence continues at coordinate 93,472,497 of NC_000007.14, forward strand.
AAACATAACAGTTATTGCATTAATATCTCAAAATCCCAACAAGGAAAAATAATAAATTAAAGCTTAAAAGCCATTCCAACATATTAATCACTTTATAGAACTTGAATGTGAGTATGTCAGTAGAGACTATCACAAATCATGTATTATACAAAGTGTATTAATATGTATTGTCTCATTTTATCTTTAGCAAAGCCATGTGAAGTAGGCATTGCCATCTTCATTTTACAAATTCAAAGCAGACAGTGAGAGGAGTCATGGAGCTTGAGATTGAACCAGGATTTAGACCCAAAGACATGGATATCGGTCAGACTCCAAAGTGCTACCTATACTCTACCTCATAATTTTTTAACAGACATTAAACTTTTGATTATAGATGGAAACTACTAGAGAAGAACAAGAACATACCTTTCTTTATTTACTTGCAATGTTTTTTCATTAGATTAACTGTATGAAACAGTAATTTTTGGATCAAATGTTCAAATCTTCCCAATCCCATATGGTTAAATCCAATAGAACAAAGAAGTCCAAAACTAAGGGATATATCAAGAGGCCATTTTTCTGCCTCTCAAGAGATTTCATTTGAATCATCTCTCTTCATCCCACAGAAAATATATAGGGATCCAGGCTTCAGCCTTTAATGTTGACTTTTTAAAGTATCTCATAGATGCTAGTTAATGAAATCCCTAACTCAGCTGGATTGGCATATTAAAGATCTCCACCTTCGCTATGGGGGTGCCAGGCACTGTGCTCAGCACTTTGCAGAATTATCTTCTTTAACGTTAATAATGAGTCTTTGAAGTGAATATTGTTCTTCCCATTTTATATATAAGTAAATTTCCCTTCCATAACTAGCAGGTAGAAAGGTCAGGAATCAAATCCGAGTCTACTTGATTCCAAATCTATTGCAGAGCTATTAAGCACTAATTAAGCCTCTTATTTCTGTGGCAATGTGCCAACTGGTCAGAGGAAACAAAACAGGCAAGCCCTTATTGTTAAGATGCAGATGTAGGTGAGAAAATAAGATGATGTAAATGGTACCTGGAAGTTGGATTTGGCATAGAAATAAAAGGTAACACTGGTTTGGCCCCCCCCCCTTTTTTTTTTTTTTTTTGAAATTGATGCTTAGCAAAGAGGAGGAAAGCCTGACATCTTACTATCCCTCCAACCAGCAGGTCAGTGATTCTGGGGCTGCCCACTGAGCTTAAGAGTTCAGCTTACACTAAAATATTTTGGAGGAAAAGGATAAGAAGATTTTCTTTGAGCCCTGAGAAAGAACTTTTTCCAAGTGCTTGCTTTGTGGTGTCTGCTGGTTCCCATCAGGCTTATTATTTTTTCAATTATTTTTGTGTGATATATTCAGTGCTGGTTACAGTATGATAAAGCCTTGCTGCTTTTTTTATTTTAATTTTTTTAGGCAGTGTATATGTATCAGTACAAAGTAAAGTTCCAAACTTGATAGAAATAATAAGTTCTCATGGGGATGACTCATATCTTTGCTGAAATTCACACTAAAATATTAGGCCACCATAGCAACTACAATAATTTTTTAAAATAACATTTGATAACTTAAAATATACCAGACCCTACATCAAGTGCTCCATCTTAAAAATAAATAAGAAAACTTCTTTGTTCTGTATTTTGCTTAATTATTAACTGAGTATATATCTGAGATTCTGGGTAAAGTGCATGAGGCTGGGAAATCACATCAATATATATTGGGAGTAAAAAGTGGTCAGAATGGTGAGATAATATTTATCAAGACACTATTATCAGCAGGATAAACACACTGTAAAACTAGTATAATTGTTAGCAAACAACTAAAATGGCACTGAAATAAAATTAGAATTTGGCTGGATTGTCTAAAAAAAACCTCGCTTTTGTATTATAATACTGGTCAACAATATTTTAATTTGGTACTGGGACTCTAGAAGGTGAAATCTCATAAATGATCAAGGTTATCTACATTCCATTCCAGTGACCTAAAGAATTTTAGATAATGTTGTTAGCTACAAGATAATATTTAAATTCTAACCTCTGAATTGGCCAAGCAACTGAAAGAAAAAATCAGGTTGAATTAAATAACATAGAAATAATGAACAAGTAAACACTAAAATGAATGTACTTGCCAAATTTAATCTGAGTTATTCAGATACTCTCCAGTTCTTCAAAGCACCCATTCGATGTGTTTATTGTCTGAGAGATCAAATAGCAAGCCTAGATTGGTATAATATGCAGGGAGATTTTGCAAGTGTATTTGGAATCTTCACAAAATTTTAATCTTTGATCATTTCTCAGGGAAAATATTTTTGAAGCATTTTTCTATGTTAACAAAGGCAAAGCATTGTTGTACGTATAGATAATGCTTTTATAGATGGCTATGTTCTTTTTTAGCACAGGATGTGGAAATCAGAATCATATGGTAATATTTGAAGAACACTGCTATTGTTTAAAAGGCTAAGGAAATAACATACTAAAGAAAAGAGAAACTTATTGGGCTGAAAAATCACTGAGATCTGATAATATTTAAAATAATTTTCTATTAGTAGTTTTGGTTACTCAATCTGCTAAGAGCTAGTAAAAAAATCCTTTCAACTTGGCAATTTTTAGGTATAATTCATCATTTTTTATTGTATGACCAAAACAGGTCTTATTGAACTAAATGCAAGATTTAAACTGCAGGTTATAGAGTTATTTGTATGTTTAATTTTTATTTAAAATGGATGAAAAAACATTTTTTCAAGCAAAAGATGTTTTCAAGCAACCTATTAGAATCATTACTGCTTCATGTAAATCTGTTACAAAGTTAAATAAGAAAACTTAAAACTGTAAATTTACTGAGATAGCCACTAGACAAACCCTATTTAAAGCATCTCTATTGGACATTAACAACATGTGAAAAAGGATTAGCACTAATCAGCACAAAAAATTGATGTTGAAAATTTGTCGATTATTTTGCTAATGTTATTTGTCAATGACAACCCTTCCAAGCTTACTTGCAATTTTTAAAAGTGGCCACAATTTATATTTATTAGATTGCAGAAAGTAGTTTTTTTTTTAAATAAAATGAATGTAATTTGGTTTCAATGAAGTTATGCAGCCAGGTATGGGAAAATATATTGTATGCAGAGAGATACTACTCTTAAAGAAGGTCATTCCACTCATGAACAAGGCCATAGCAAATGGTATTTTTTGTTTTGTTTTAACTAAAGTCTGGATCGAGTCATTTCTTGGTTTTAACTGTTATAACTATCAAGAATTTGTCCTACTTCACCTGATGAGTCTTTCAATACTTGAAGAAAGGATTATGTTTACTCTGGGACTTCCCTTTAGAAACCAAACACCCCCATTATTCACTCCCCACAGATTTTCCGCTAACAGCCTGGAGACTCTCCACATGTGCTTTGATAATTGATATTTCTCTCTAAAATACTCTATGTGTGGACTGACCCATGAAAAGTACAATGTGCTTCTCTCACTCCAGATTCACGCAGGGGAACTACTTGCAGATTCCGAGGTCCTGTCCCTAGAGATTCAAATTCTATTGATCTGGACAGGGGTCAGGCATCTGCATTTTTCATAAGCTCACAATTTTTTTTTTCATTTTGTGAAAGGGCATCTGGGTTGAGAATCACCGTCCCAAACCATATTTGGACCATTTAATGGCTCTGTGCCATTAAAATTGTTTGTTTGTCTTCAAGTGCAGGGCTGTAAATGCTTCCTTGTTAAATTTTGCTTTTTACATTCCAGCATATTCCTTCAGAATGTCAGCCTCTTTTGAATTTCAATACAGTTCTTCACTCTTTCACTATCTTTTACCAAGTACTTTTTCCAAAGTGAAACAAACCTCTGGCATTTCATTAATGTGTTTTGTACATCATTAAGATGTAAGCTTTAGGTCAATAAGAAAATCCTGAAGAATTTAAGTTTGGTATGTGTGTGTATGTGTATATATATATTATGTTATGTATATGTTTATAATTTAAGTTTGGAATATATGTATATATTTCAGATACACTTTTAAAATGAATTTATCCTGCAGCTGAGAGGTTTCTGTATAAGAACCAGGCTGAAAAGATGGATCGATGCCTGTAAATCTCTGATTTTTTTATCAAAACCTTGCCTTGTAGTCACTATTTATATCCACTTTGGCAAGAGCCCCATTGTTACTTTGGAACTGGCCTAGTAGCCTCAATTGCACAACAGCTCTTCGTGCCAATCAAGTAACTTCTAATGTAGTTGTCAAATCAAGATTAATGAAGCATCATTCATTGGGAAGAGTCAATAAGGGCCTGAAGGATTATCATCAAATAGCATTTAGTTAGAGATTCCAGGAATGTAGCTGATTTAGGGCACAGCACAAAGCCCTTTCTTTCTTCACATCCCAACTTTTCCATCACAATGGGAATTCCCAGAAGTGGCTGGCCTGCACTGGTTTTAAAAGAGGTCCTCTGCAATTCCACTTCCATTATCTCTGCCTTACTGAGGTGAAATTTTGTTTTCAGGGACAGATTAGATCTTTCACTCTGGAAGGAAGCACAAAAAGCATTTTTCTAACATTGTTTCAGGGGTAGACTCATTTTTCTTCTTTAATTGGGATTCTAGAGCCACTTAACCCCTGTAGGCTCAGGCTCACTTTACTCTTGGGAACAAATTTCACCCATTAACAGGGACCTATATGTTGTGCCCATAGCTAATCCATTTAGTTTCAGCATCTGGGTCTCCTTCATAATTAAGATTTCTACCCCTTTTTCAGTGAGACAATTGAAAAATTTTTAAAACTCACATTTAAATAAAACTATTCACAGAGTTTTAGAAAAGCTATTTTTATAAACCAGAATTTAATACCAACACATATAACTGACCAGCAACATGACTTAAAAAAAAGGACAGCTTGTAATATTTGTACAACTAAGAAGTATTTCAATTAAGGAAACACTTCAGAAGTTGCTAAAATGTGGAGTATGATTAGGTGGGTACATTTTGTATCTGATTTTCTTCTCAAAACCATGAAAACTCTAAAAGCTTCATAGCAAGAACATAAAATGAAAATAAACACTCTACCTGATGGATCAAAATCCGGAAAATAATCTGGGCAGAACTGATAGGACAATACTCCAGCCGGTGTGTCATCCCAGCACAGCCATCCATCCCAGGTGCGATTGCAATATGGACCTGGCCATTTAGAAGGAAATTGATATTGAAGCCTTGTGGATTTAACTAAATGAGAAGATTGATCCCAAGACGATATTACAAGTAGCTGAGCTCACTACACCAGTCATAACCAACCACATTTCAAACAAGCCAAGTCATTTATTTTGGAAATAAAGTTTCAAATAGGCTTAGCATATCTGTGACCAAATTATCTCATTGGATGACAAGCAGGGTTCTATTTCTACTTTGTAAAAGGTTCCAAAGTTGAGTGCATCAAAAAAGCAAATGCCCCAAAGACTGCAAGACCCTCTCTCAAAAAAAAAAAAAAAAAAAAAAAAAAAAAAAAAATTCTACCTAAAACCATGAAGATTTACTTCTATAAAGGTATGTATTCAAAAGAATCAGATCCAGGCTTTCAAGAAAGCTCTCAAAAATTATTTAAAAAATGAAAAGAGCTCTCAGAAAACCCCAAAAATATCAGTTCTGTGTTTTTATTGTCTCACTGGCTTCAACGAAATTGTTTCTCCTTTGGTCAGAGTTATGTCTAATGCCTGTTCAGTTCTTGATAAACACTGAAATTACTGCAGACAGAAGAATAATATGTATCTGCCTTTCAGTTGACTTGATGTTTTTGTTTAAAGGAAAATGGTAAAAATAAGAACTACAAACTAAAACTTGAACTATTTGAAAGCAAAGAATGTGCAGTAACAGAGTATATTTTACCATTTTTTTCCCTACCAAGTTGGGTTGTCTTAAAATGTACATGGTAGTAGGCCAGATGCAGTGTCTCACGCCTGTAATCCTAGCACTTTGGGAACCTCTCCTGAGCCCAGGAGTTGGAGACCAGCATGGACAACATGGCAAAACCCCATCTCTACAAAAAAATACAAAAATTTGCTGGGCATGGTGGCATGCACCTGTAGTCCCAACTGCTCAGGAGGCTAAAGTGGGAGGATCGTCCTGGGCGAGAGAGTGAGACCCTGTCTTAAATATATATATATATATATATATATAGTAAAAGATCTTATTGAATCTTTTCAAATGCCTCAGGGGACAAGTAGGAGAATTTAAAGGGATGTTGCAATGAGCTTGCCCATCACATCTCCCCTTTTGTTTTTCTATGGGTCCTCTACAGCTAATAGAATATGTTTAGACCTGAAAATATCTGGGCAGTCACATACAGCCATTCTAGAGAAGCTGGTAGATAAACAATGTCTGGCTAGGAGGTACCTTTTTGTAATTCTCCTGGAAAGTGGGGCCAGAAAGTGTGGAAGAATAGTATGGGTTGCCAACCAATTGACAGTTAAAGGGAAGATACTACCTAATTAATCCAAGCAAGATAGGGTTTGATAGGGTCCACCTCAGGCAAATTCTCTGCCCTCTATTTTCCAATTCCCTTTCCTGTCATTTTGTACATCCCCTCCCTCACTCGGTCCTTTACTGTTCCGGCTCACCAGGTGTGAATACTGAATTATTGCGGTAATTTTATCATGAGGGCAGATGTTAGCCAAATTGCAGTCAGATGAACTTGGGCAAAGAAATTAGGCATATGCACTGCATGAAATACACAAACATACCATAGTGTGAAAACTGCTGTGAAAACTGCTGGCATATTAAATTAAAATTATTCAACACATATTTAACCACAAAAGAAAATGTCTGTAATGGTGTTTCAAACATATGTTCATATATATCCTTCTCTTTACCTTCTCCTTGGTATGCGGGTAACTGCTGCATTCGGTCATAGCATTTGTACTGTGCATCCATCATCTTCTTTCGTCCTACGACGTAAAGAAATGGCTTGGGCTCTATTGTTGGATAGGTTTGATTTGAAAAGGCAGGAAGAATTGGGGTTGGGTGCTGTATTAAAAAGAAAAATCAGTTACTTATAGACAGGAGGAATGGGTGAGCACAAATAAATGAGACAATGAAAAAGTTTGAAAACATTTATTTTTGCTCTCTAAGCAATACTTATTCATGGTCTCTATGTACAGTTTTTTTCATATATATTACAAAAAATGTTTTCACATTTCATCTACAAATTCTACTGGCACATTTTACATTTGCATTAGTTTCCATTTACTATTGAAAATGGATAACACCTACACACTCATATACCTCTTTATCAGCTAGGATTGTTTTAACTGTATTATGATTCTAAAGTTTAGAAGTAAACAAAACAAATAATCTAATTTCCAAAAAATACAAATATGAAATCAACTTTGCCTTACTCTTAAGAATCATGAATCATGTTATTAAAAAATAGACATAGTTCAATAAATATGCTTTTTTATTTGATTCTTTCAGCTAAATTTTATTGGTGCTGTGTACACTGCCAGAAATTTATCCCATCTATTCCATGGAACAAACAAAATATGTTTTCTGCTCCTCATAATTGACCATAATCTCCTTAAATTGGTTTCAACAGCAGATGACCTGTACAGGGCAATTCATGTTCACTAATGAAAAATCAATGTATTTCTTAGATATTTATCTCAGCACATTTGCATTTTGGTACAGATTGACAATAGTTTTTTTCAGTTTCAGTTAATCATCACCATCACAAGCCTCTCTTTTTCAAAGGTAATGTGGGTGTTTGAAAAGATCACTCTGTCACACTGTTCTTCCTAACTTGTGTTTATAAAGATTTCAATTTCTTTTGTGGCTATGACCAATGTTTTTAGTGGTGTTGGAATCTGCGAATTTTTAATATCCATGTTCTGCATAGAGATTTTTTTTTCTTTTTTTGAGGAGACCTAAAAACATCAGCCTGCACTGACTTTCCTTTTTCTAAATTTAGGAATGCTGCTTAATTTCTATCATACCCGTTGAAATTTCAATTCTAAGATTGAAGTTTCTCCAATTGTATTGATGGCAGAAGTGGTGTTATGTACTCTTCTATATGTGCTAGTTTCTAAACAAAACTCATCCCTATTAAGTTGACATGTATATTCCTGGCTCTTCATGGTGAATCCTCACTGTTTTCCATGTGTGTCATTGTATATGTCCTACACGACAGCACATCACTAACTGCTAAGCTGTCCAGCACAGAATCCAATCAAAATTCAGAGTTTGGAGAGAGTAGGGAGCAAAAATATTCAGGATGGCTACAGATACAAGGTAGAATTTGAATTGTATCTTGAGTGTGGGAAGTTTCTGCATAGGCACAAGGGGGGGTCGAGAAGCCTTTTGGGATGGAGGGACCTTTCCCACAAAAGTCTGGAGGTTGGAAATGACATGCATGAGCCACTGTGAGAAAACCATCTTGCCTGAAGGGGAGCATATTTGAGGGTAAGAAGGTCAGGACTTTGCTTTCAAGACTGCATTATCTGAATCTTCAGATAACAAAAAAAGAGTTAAAACTTGTTTTGTCACTTTGAGCAGGTTAGCAACCTCTCACTAGATCTGTTTCCTCAACCTAGGAAACGTAAAATAAGAAGAGCGGTAAGAATAATATTTATCATCTGTCATGTTGTGAGGATGAACAAGACAATAAACACCAAGTGTCAGGGACATGAAAGGTTCAAAACATTTTAGCTAATATTGTTAAAACATGGTATATAACATAATATATATGATAAAGATGTTTTGTAGATTTTTGATCAGTGAAGGTTGTGAAAGGAGAATTTTTAGTAAAATTCATGCAGCAGGCATCAGATGTCCACAGGTTAAAGTTGCGGGGTGGGGTGGGGGCAGCCAGGAAGTTGAAGGCCTGGCTGGACTAGATCAGTCCATGTTGGAACAAGAAAGTACCACTCTTAGCACCTTCTCAATAATAAAAACATGAAGGCATATTTGAATACAAGGAATGGGAAACAGTAATAGTCAAATAGCCCAGATAATTAGCCTAGATATTTGGGGAAAAAAATAGTTCCCAAGAAAGGGAAGATGCTGGGAAAGGAAAACCTTATTAGGGGGAACTTCTCCCCCTTGGTAAGTAAGTCCTATTTTGGGTTAGATTTGGAGATGGTAGCAAGCCATCCTAGTGGAAATATCTTGCAAAGAGAAGAGGGTGAATACTTATCATTATTATAACATTACTGTGATAACTTCAAATGGACACCAATTGTGAATAAGGTTGACACTACTCTTTAAACATTTTGTTGATTTCTAATTTTAATGTCTCTTGAATTTATGTCAGAAGAGAAAGTAATGAACCCATAAAAATGATTATAACTGTGCAAATCCTTTACCAGTGTAGCTGAACACAATTCTTTTGATATATGACACTTTCCCCACTGGTCTTCAGATCAGTCAGCAAATATTGATCAAACTTGATGAGCCCAACATTGTGCCAGATGCTGAGGATACAGTGCTGAATAAAATAAGTGTAGACTGTGCTCTCATAGAGCTTACAGTCTGGCAAGATGGACCAACACTATAAAATATATTTCTGATACTTGAAATTATGAACAATAAAGAATCATCAGTCATAAAATTCTTAGATATTCCTAATGGAATTGGAACACGATTTGCAAAATTTTTAAAAAAGAGTAATTTGAAGGGATTCCATGTTGAGGTTTCTTTTTTTAGTTTATTACTCAACTTTTGTATGAATATGTGTGTTTTAAAAATTCAATTACATATTAGGCAACCATCAAAACAAGAATGGATCATGATGCCTTCACAATAGAGATATTAATTATTGGTTCAACTTATACATTTATTTTAGATTCTTCTTTTGTGGCTCTAAAATCTTCAGTTAATATGAGAATGATCATTTGATGTATTATTAATTTCTGGACCATTTTCTCACCATCTTCAAATCGAATTAGAAGATGGAACATGATGTCATATATAAATCTTATCTGTCACTTGTATTAGATATGCTAAACACTGGGAAGTATTTTGTTTAAATCTGGCTTTCTTCCCAAAAGTAACATTCTGAATTCTCTTTTTATATGGCTGACAACCAACCAAGAGATTTTCTTGCTCTAGTTGGAAATTCATGGAAACCATAGGCAAATAGTATGTCCGAGGATAACAAGTAGAAAACCCTATGCTTGTATTTTCAATTATATTTTTATTTGCTTTAATGCAGTTTTAACATCAGTAACAGTGGAAATACGACAATCTGTATACGAGTAGTTATAATTCATGCTGATGAAAGTAGCTTCCATCTTATCATTCTTGCAATATTGAAACAAACTCCAGTGAACTTGTTTGAAGCTGGTTCAGTAGAGATTGTTTCAACACTGAAGGAATGAAAAATTAGAACCTCTGTTGTCAGATGAGCAGTAATAATCTGCATCAGTTCCTGGTCTGGTTCATATTTGAGCACTGAAGATGGAATTTTCCCAACAGTAGATGAATGTCTCAGTGGCCTTCTTCCTAAAATAACATACCCATTGGGGCATTACGTTTATACATACAGTCATCCCTTGGTATACTCAGGGGATTGGTTGCAGGACCTCCTGTGGATACCAAAATCTGAGGATGCTTAGGTACTTCATATAAAATGGTGTAGTATTTGCATATGTGGATACCAAAATCTGAGGATGCTTAGGTCCTTCATATAAAATGGTGTAGTATTTGCATATAACCTATGTACATCCTCCTGTATTATTTAAATCATCCCCAGATTATTTATACCTAGTACAATGTAAATATGATGTAAATAGTTGTTATACTGTATTATTTAGGAAATAATAAAAAGAAAAATAGTCTGTATGTTTACAATACAATTTTTTCCTGAATATTTTCTATCCAAGATTGGTTCAATCTATGGATGTACAACCCATGGATACAGAGGGCTGACTGTATAGATAGATAGATAGATAGATAGATAGATAGATAGATAGATAGATAGACAGACAGATAGATAGATATAAACATATAAATATATGTATATGTATGATTTTATGTATATTATATATATATAATTACAATCATGGAATTACTACTGCTTAAAAATAACACATATACAAATTTCATAAAGTTTATTAAATGTTAAACTTTTGCTGATAATTTTATACAAATAAGAATTGCTGGGAAGGTGGTATCATTTTCAGCAATACAGAGACAAAATAAAACCAGTAGTGATTGGATGAAACTACCAAACAATGTAAGAGACTTCAAATATCCTACTTATTATAAGTGTTATGTCTATACTACTTATTTCAGGGGGTTAAATAAAAATATGATTATATGTTCACATTCAGATAGAAATGAGATATTAAGGGCATATTGTTTTTCTGAATAAACATCAGTTTTCAAAGCTTTGCATATAAACCATCTTACATGATTTTTCAACATACAAACAAACAAAACTCTTAATTGTTGTCCCATGTAGCAGTTTAGCTGCCGTATATGTGATGTCACTCCTAAAGGTTCAAGTAAATGGCGTCACACATACGACCACCAAGCTGCCACCAACAGCAGTAGTCAGCAGCCCAAACATCATCAGTTTTTTTCAGTCGACAAATACTTTGAGTGCCTCTCACATGTCAGGCACTCTTCTAGGTTCTGGAAATTCAGCAGTGAACCAAACTGGCAAGCCACCTGCTCTCATAGAGCTTACATTCTTGATTTTATCCACACTAATCATGGAATCCACAGGAAAGGAATCTGATTTGAAATGGTCATATGCTTATGCAATTCCTACTGTGATGTAGGACAGTCAGTTTGCTTTTGGGTTACAGGCAGTTTCTAGAAGTACAGAGACAGTTACAGAGCTGTTCTTCATGGAACTTTGAGAAATGGTCCATCTCTGCAATAGTTCAAGCCCACTGAGTGTATGGACCCAAGCTGCTGTGCTGAAGGGAGAGCTTCCTATTGATTGCCACATGCAAAACTACTCTAAAAAGTATGTAAACCTAGAATCCACAAACTGATGCAACCAATGAGATTTTCATGTCACCATCCTTAATGTTGATAATGTATATAATTATTTTTGCTTTTCAGTTACTTACACATTTCAAAATAAGAAAGGACAAAGCACACTGTTGTAAAAAGTGTTAGCCCTGGTTTTCCCAGGTAAGATCAGATGCCTGGCTGGTGTACTGTGTAATTCTACTTACATTATATAAACAACGAAACTGCATATATCATAAATTCAAAGCAAATAGGTGAACATAGATAAGTAAACAAGTAACAATAACACCTGCTCTGAAGAACCTAATTTTTATGTCTTTGTTATTACCATTGGCTTTGTTGTCATCAGCATCGTCACTGGCATCTTTTTCTGAGAGCTCACTGTATACCAACTGCTGCTCTAAGCTTACTGTATACCTCGCAGGAGGGAGAGGAATTGAGTGGGTGGTTATGGTTAATGGAAAGAGGCTAATTGAAGGTGGTGACCCAAACTGAGACTTTAAAACCTATATGGAAATCGAGTTGATAGAGTTCAATAGTTAGTGTATTTTCACAACAATCTATTGTCTAAAAAGTAATATTTCGGATTAATTAGGAACATTGTCATTAAAATTTTTTTTCTCTGAGAAGTGTCAGTGTGAACATAATAAACGTTTTGAAGAAAATGGACATATCAAATTTTGTTTTATGGACAAATCCTCCAAATCAAATATATAATCCAAATACAGAGAGAGAAGCAAATTTCTCTCTGTCACAGCAAAGAGAGCACAAACCCATTTAAGTGCCCTGTTCAGTTATGCTTGCTGGTCAAGAGGTGCCCACAAGCCATAAAATGTTTCTGTCCATGGCTCATGCAAAGATGTGCATTTTTTTCAATATTTAAATTATAGACTACATTAGTAAAAGTTTTGAATAAAAATGACCTACGTTGCTTTTTGAACACACTACAAATTTTCTAAAGCCTTTGTAATAAAAAAGGTAATTAGATAATCTTCAAACAATTTTGTTAGTATTTAGTTCTTTCTTTAGTTTTTCTTCTGTCATGTTCAATATAATTATTTATGAAGCATGATTATTCAAAAATATTCACATATACCAGATCACTTAGGATTTCATTTGAGCTATGAAAAATAACAATATCAATAATATATAGCAATATTTTTACATCCATAGAAGACCACATAAGGCCTGGGTATTTACTGGCAAATTAAAATATTCTATTAGTTTCCATAGTAGTCTTGTTTAGTGTTTTTATTATATTTCCAGTGACATAAAGAAACCTGCATTTCCAAATACTAATTACTTTTAGAAAATTTTACTGTAATTTATCTAAAGAAATATTTAATAGGATAAAATGATAAGACAAACTGACAATAAAATAAGTTATACTCATTATCCAAATAGGTGCAAAAGGGTTGCATTAATAGTCATTCCCATACACCATTTATTTGATGTACAATATTACAAAATAAAAATTGCCTTACAAATTAAATTAACATTTATGAAATACTAGCAATATTTTTTTCTTGAATAATATAAAGACAAACAGTTTAGACAGACTTGTAGGCCTATAACTACACATTAATAAACAATGGAAATCCTCGAACCCTATGCAAGCTTTGTGTGGGTCAGTATGACAGTATGAGATATTGAGTGATCTTTGCTGCCAACTGTAATTTATTAGCAAATGTTACTCTGATGTGACAGAAAGGATAAGAAGCAAGGCAGCTCCACATTGATTTACGTAAAATTTACTCATCTCCCATTCATGTGCTATTGAAGCTGATGTGATGGTAGGTTAACAATGTTGACACAAATAATAGGCATTGATAGTGTTCTCTAAGATGATTATATTTCCGATTACTTGCTAAATCTTTTAGGAATAAAACAATATAGAATTACACAAACTGAACATAATTTAAAAGATTGGAGAAAGAGTTATAGAATAATAGTGGTATATAAAGACTTGAAGTTTCCATAGTCAGTTTTTGATGAAAAATACATTTGAAATCAATAGCCAGACTGAAAGAGTTCAGAAGTTTTAAAAGAATTGAACAGCCCAGATGTTTTAAAAGGATTGAACAGCCCAGAAACTATCATTCAAATCATAGTTTTGAACTAAGATTCAAAACATAGTTTTTTCAACATGAAAACATTTTACCTGAGAATATTATTTACCAACTATGTTAATTTCTAAGATAATATGGAGATGTCTAAAATTAATGCTAAAGTTTTGTAAACAAAACTCAAATTTCTGGGTAGACCACAAACACTAATTTAAATTAGAGACAGTTCAGAGGAGAGATTTGTTAACAAAATATTAAGCAAAATAATGGCTTTGAGGAACTTAGTTTCGGCTTCTGGAGACCAATGCCTACCCTTGCAAATACTAATTAAATCACACTCAAAACATTCCTCCTTATTCAGCATTCTTCATTAGCATGGCTTTGAATACTTTTGTTTTACTTACATTTAGAAGAAGAAACAGTGCCAAGCACCGGCTTGTAAATGTGAACCTCATTTTTGATTTTTGAAGATCTCTTTGTCCTAGAAAAATATAAAAGCAACAAAGACTAAAATTAATATATCTCTAATATTGGCTATGGCATTTCATTTTCATTTTTTCTATTTGACTTAAAGAGGATCAACATCCCAAGACACCCTAAAAAACACACGTAAGAAAAAACAGTATGCTTGTGATGCAAATGCAGTGAAGATTCCATTGCTTTTCCTGTCAACTAGATTGTTATACCTGAGGCCCTCCTATTAAGAAATTCTGGCACTACCTTTGCATATTAGGACAGAAATAAAGACATTCCAAGAGAGCAAGAGCAACCCATGTCAGCTTCAGTTAACATGTGTCATTGATAGAGCTGCTGAAAATTGCAATGAAGATGTCCACCAAGAAGTCACCTCACTGGACATGAACAAATAAAATCTGTAATTTGTGAAAGATTAATCATCATGCCCTCTAGGTAGTCTAAGGCCAACTCTAAAAGTAGCCTTATTTAAAGCTTTGAGTAATTTTCTTTCCTATAAATGTTTCTTTAAGCTTCAAGTTGCTAGTAAGAACAAATTTCTTCCATAGCAATGATTGAGCATGTCATTTAACAGCTCACCATTCATACTGAAGAGCATAATCATCCAAACAGGCTGCTTAGTCACAAATATCAAATGGTTTTTCATGGCTCTGCAGATAATTTTACACAAGAAAACTTAACAAAGGGTTAAACAGTTGAAAAATACATATATTTCTTTTCATCAGTGGGAGTTGTGTGAAACCTACATTCCAACTAGGGGTGAGTGGTTATGACTGTATCTTAACTGGTAAGTTCCTGTTGCACTATATCTACTGTATTACCCATAGAATTTACCTATCCTTTATCCAGGAGAACTTCCCCAACATAGCAAGACTGGCCAACATGCAAATTCAGGAAATACAGAGAACACCACTAAGATATTTCATGAGAAGATCAACCCCAAGACACATAATCATCAGATTCTCCAAGGTTGAAATGAATGAAAAAATATTAAGGGCAGCCAGAGAGAAAGGCAAAGTAACCTACAAAGCAAAGCCCTTCAGACTAACAGAAGACCTCTCAACAGAAACTCTACAAGCTAGAAGAGATTGGAGGCCAATATTCAACATTCTTAAAGAAAAGAATTTTCAACCCAGAATTTAATATTCAGCCAAACTAAGCTTCATAAGCGAAGAAGAAATAAAATCATTTCTGGGCAAGCAAATGCTGAGAGATTTTGTTACCATTTGGTCTGCCTTGCAAGAGCTCCTGAAAGAAGCACTAAATATGGAAAGGAAAAACCAGTACCAGCCACTGCAAAAACACACCAAAATATAAAACCAATGGCACTATGTAGAAACTGCATCAACTGTTGTGCAAAATAACCAGATAGCATCATGATGATGGATCAAATTCACACATAAGAATGCTAACCTTAAATGTAAATGGGCTAAATGCCCCAATTAAAAGACACAGACTGGCAAATTGAATAAAAAGTCAGGACCCATTGATGTGCTATATTCAGGAGATCCATTTCATGTGCAAAGACACACATAGGTTCAAAACAAAGGGATGGAGGAAAATTTACCAAGCAAATGGAAAGAAAAAAAAAAAAAAAAAAAGCATGGGTTGCAATCCTAGTCTCTGACAAAACAGACTTTAAACCAACAAGATAAAAAAAAAGACAAAGAAGGCCTTGCATGATGGTAAAGGGAACAGTTCAACAAGAGCTAACTACTCTAAATATATATGCACCCTATACAGGAGCACCCAGATTCATAAAATAAGTTCTTAGAGACTTACAAAGATACTCAGACTCCCACACAATAATAGTGGGAGACTTTAACATTCTACTACCAATATTAGAGAGATCAATGAGACAGAAAATTAGCAAGGATATTCAGGGCTTGAACTCAGCTCTGTATCAAGTGGACCTAATAGACATCTACAGAACTCTCCAACCCAAATCAACAGAATATACATTCTTCTCAGTACCACATGGAACTTATTCTAAAATCGACCACATAATTGGAAGTAAAACATTCCTCAGCAAAAGCAAAAGAACTAAAATCATAACAAACAGTCTCTCAGACCACAATGCAATCAAATTAGAACTCAGGACTAAAAAACACATTCAAAACCACACAATTACATGGAAACTGAACAACCTGCTCCCAAGTGACTCCTGGGTAAATAATGAAATTCAGGCAGAAATCAAGAAGTTCTTGGAAACCAATGAGAACAAAGAGACAATGTACCAGAATCTCTGGGACACAGTTAAAGCAGTGTTAAGAGGGAAATTTATAGCACTAAATGCACACATCACAAAGCTGCAAAGATCTCAAATCGACACCCTAATATCACAATTAAAAGAGCTAGAGAGGCAAAAGCAAACTAATCCAAAAGCTAGCATAAAACAAGAAATAACTAAGAGCAGAGCAGAACTGAAGGACATAGAAACCCAAAAAACCCTCCAAAAAAATCAATAAAACCAGGAGCTGGTTTTTTAAAAAAATTTAAAAAATAGATAAGCCACTAGCTAGACTAATAAAGAAGAAAAGAGAGAAGCACCAAATAGACACAATAAAATATGAAAAAGGGGGTATCATCACTGACCCCACAGAAATACAAATTACCATCAGAGAATACTGTAAACACCTCTACACAAATAAACTAGAAAATCTAGAAGAAATTGATAAATTCCTGGTAACCTCCCAAGACTAAACCAGGAAGAAGTTGGAGCCCTGAATAGACCAATAGCAAGTTCTGAAATTGAGGCAGTAATTAATGGCCTACCAACCAAAAAATGTCCAGGACCAAATGGATCCACAGCTGAATTCTACCAGAGTTACAAAGAGGAGCTGGTACCATTTCTTCTGAAACTATTCTGAAGAATTGAAAAGGAGGGACTCCTCCCTAATTCATTTTATGAAGCCAGCATCATCCTGATACCAAATCCGGGCAGAGACACAACAAAAGAAGAACACTTCAGGCCAATATCCCTGATGAGCATTGATGCAAAAATCCTCAATAAAATACTGGCAAACTGAATCCAGGAGGACATCAAAAAACGTATCCACCATGATCAAGTCGGCTTCATCCTGAGATGCAAGTCTGGTTCAACATACGCAAATCAATAAATGTAATCCGTCACATAAACAGAACCCAAGACAAAAACCACATGATTATCTCAATAGATGCAGAAAAGGCCTTTGATAAAAGGCAACATCCCTTTATGTTAAAAACTTCAATAGACTAGGTATTGATGGAACATATCTCAAAATAAGAGCTATTTATGACAAATCCACAGCCAATATCACATTGAATGGGGATAATTGAAAGCATTCCCTTTGAAAACCAGCATAGACAAGAATACCCTCTCTCACTGCTCCTATTCAACATGGTATTGGAAATTCTGGCCAGGGCAATAATCAGGCAAGAGAAATAAATGAAGGGTATTCAAATAGGAATAGAGGAAGTCAAATTGTCTGTGTTTGCAGACAACATGGTTTTATATTTAGAATACCCCATCATCTCAGCCCCAAAACTCCTTAAGCTGAGAAGTAACTTCAGCAAAGTCGCAGGATAAAAAATCAATGTGCAAAAATTACAAGCATTCCTTTAATCCAACAATAGACAAGCAGAGAGCCAAATCACAAATGAACTCCAATTCACAATCATTACAAAGAGAATAAAATACCCAGGAATACAGCTAAAGAGGGATGTGAAGGACCTCTTCAAGGAGAACTACAAATCACTGCTCAAGGAAATAAGAGATTACACAAACAAATGGAAGAACATTCCATCCTCATGGATAGGAAGAATCGATATCGTGAAAATGGCCATACTGCTCAAAGTAATTTATAGATTCAGTGCTATTCCCATCAAACTACCATTGACATTTTTCAGAGAATTAGAAAAAACTACTTTAAATTTCGTATGGGATCAAAAAAAAACCTGTATAGCCAAGACAGTCCTAAGCAAAAAGAACAAAGCTGGAAGCATCACACTACCTGACTTCAAACTATGCTATAAGGCTACAGTAACCAAAACAGCATGGCACTGGTACCAAAACAGACATATAGACCAATGGAACAGAACAGAGACCTCAGAAATAACACCACACATCTACAACTATCTGATCTTCAACAAACCTGACAAATACAAGCAATGGGGAAAGGATTTCCTATTCAATAAATGGTGCTGGGAAAACTAGCTAGCCATATGCAGAAAACTAAAAATGGACCTCTTCCTTACACCTTATACAAAAATTAACTCAAGATGGATTAAATTCTTAAATAAAAACCACAAACCATAAAAACTCTAGAAGAAAACCTAGGCAATACCATTCAGGACATAGACATGGGCAAAGACTTCATGACAAAAATGCCAAAAGCAATTGCAACAAAAGCCAAAATTGACAAATGGGATCTAACTAAACTAAAGAACTTCTGCGCAGCAAAAGAAACTATCATCAGAGTGAACCAGCAATCTACAGAATGGGAGAAAATTTTTGCAATCTACCTAACTGACAAAGGTCTAATATCCAAAATTTACAAGGAATTTAAACAAATTTACAAGAAGAAAGCAAACAACCCCATCAAAAAGTGGGAAAAGGATATGGACACTTCTCAAAAGAAGACATTTACACAGCCAACAAACATGAAATAAAGCTCAACATCACTGATCATTACAGAAATGTAAATCAAAACCACAGTGAGATACCATGTCACACCGGTCAGAATGGTGATTATTAAAAAGTCAAGAAACCATAGATGCTGGTGAGGCTGTGGAGAATGAGGAATGCTTTTATACTGTTGGTGGGAATGTAAATTAGTTCAATCATTGTAGAAGATAGTATGGCAATTCCTCAAGGATCTAGAACCAGAAATACCATTTGACCCAGCAATCCCATTACTGGGTATATACCCAAAGGAATGCAAATCATTCAACTATAAAGACACATGCACACGTATGTTTATTGCAGCACTATTTACAATAACAATGTCATGGAACCAACCCAAATGCCCATCAAAGATAGACCGTATAAAGAAAATGTGGTACATATACACAATGGAATACTATGCAGCCATAAAAAGGAATGAGCTCATATCCCTGCAAAGGATGAAGCTGAAAGCCATCATCCTCAGCAAACTAACACAGGAACAGAAAACCAAACACCACATGTTCTCACTCATAAGTGGGAGTTGAACAATGAGAACACATGAACACAGAGAGGGGAACAACACACACCAAGGCCTGTTGGTGGGAGGGGTGCGAAGGGAGGAAACTTAGAGGACAGGTCAATAGGTGTAAAAATTTTATTTTTTAAAAAGAAAAAAATAAAATATGCACTCACATATTTTAAAAAACAAAAATAGTAAAAAAAAAGTATTTACAGATTTTTCCAGATATAAATTACTGTCTACAATGTATGCCTATTATACTTGTCCCCAAAAGGGTAAATTCTATTCAGTTTACCTATTGGCATAACAGGAAATTGAGAATGTAAATTATAATTTTGAAACATCATTTTATATGTTGATCATTATTCATTGTTTCTGATTTATTTCAAGTCCACTCAGTAAATTAGAAGCATACACGCACACACGTATTAAGTGCTGAGGCACTACATGAAATGTAAATATGAGCTGGATGAGATATGATTCCAGTATAAGAAGTTGAGCATCTGAGTGGGGAAGGGTATAAATGATATAAGATGTGGCAAAATAACTCAAATGCAGACTGGGTGAAAGGTTCAATGAAATTGCAAAAATATAGGGCCTTATAAGATGGTTATATAATTTTTGATTGGGGGATCAGGGAGGGAATTATATTTTGAGATAAAATTTGAAAACCTGAATAGGGTTTTGAAAAGCAAAGACCTCTTAGTCAGAGAAAGCACATAAAAACAACATATGGATCTAGGAAAACTTAGGATAACTAAAGAATAATGAATATAATAGTTTAATTTAGCTGGAGCATAAAGCCTCTTAGGAAGTGGAAATTGGGCTAAAAAAGTAGGTTTTGAGTGCTTAGGAAATTTATTACCCAAACTACCCATTTGGCATTCTGTGTATTTCTATGTATTTTCATCTACATAAATACACATCCTAACAACCTTACCTAATGCTAAACCCTTTCAGATAAGAATTATTTTTTAGATAGCTATATATCTCTGGCACATCACAAAATTGCATACACATGTTTATTATTATTGATAATGATGGTGGCTTGTGATCTAATGAGTTAAATAAAACATGGAATTCTGATTTTTTACAACTATATCCTCACCACACCACCACATTGGCAAATCTAAATGTATTATTTTCTCTGTCCATTTTCTTGCATTTCTCATATCAGTGTCTTCCACAATTATCCATGAATTGTATGAATGAGAAAGTTGGGATCATTCCTGATTCCACTCACTTCTTCATTCCAAGCTTCTAGTCTCTAGGACTCTCTGATTCCATCTGCATTTTGGGATCTTTTCAAACATGTCCATCCTATCTACTACCTTAGTGCAGGTCACCATCTTTCTCTTCAGTTCCCTGGCAACAGCCTCTAGACCAGTTTCCCTGCTTCAAGTTGTAATCCCTCCAACTCGTGTTCTATATTAAAATGAGTGCAATTTTACTCTTCTTTAGCAATTCCCTACAAACTTTAAGTTAGTGCAAAGAACCATTGGCTAGGAATACAATACAGGACCCCCTTAAAGTAACAAGCACCAGTGTGATCATGAAGAGAAATAGAGAAAAATTAAAATTGTCTCTTAGATTTGTGGCCTGCTAAAAGGACAGATAAGAAATTCAGGAGAGGAAAGTAGGTGGAGGAGGCAAACTTTTAATTTGTGTCTTTCTTGTTGATTGGGAATACACTACCTCCATATATTGGGTGAGACTTATTTCCTGGTGTGAAAGTTGGAGTTTTTGAGATGTATACATACTTGTGAAACTGACACAGTTTTCTTTGTCTACATCTTGCATTTTACAAAGTACAAAGAAGTCATAGACATACATTAAATTCCTAAAGGTGACTGCTCATGATTGTCCTGTAATGTAGCCTCTGAGAGAAGAAGGATATGTAGAACACCACGGGTGGTGCCAGAATTAAAAGCCAAATCTCCTCTTGACATGATCCTACTCATTAATTCCAAATGTGAGAGCTAATATGGCGAGAAACCAGCTTCTTTATGAAGGTGAATATGTGGTGATTGGATGGTTAATTGATAGTACATGGTACCATCCATGTCATGTATTTGATATTTTGCAATGTAGAAGTTGCTGTTTGACTCAACAGTGTTATTAAAATGAGGAGCATTGGAGGCAATGGGAGACTTGTCACTTTAAGGTGAATGGGCTGCACAGTCATCTTGCTGTAGAAAAGGGGACCCCCATGGTCTTAAAGCCCCACACATGACATTTACACATGTATCACAAACAGCTTATGAGAACAAAAATAGTATGAAAACAGATCTGAGAGTGAATATTCGGAAACAACAGAGGGGATTTAGATAAGAAACAATTTCTTTTGTTTTGCCTATTAATTGAAGAGGTCTTAATTTTAAAGACTTGCATTATTTGGAACTATAACAAATGCCTCATGCCCAAACTATAGTAGATCTCTGCTCACCAAGCCTGCCTCTAGTCAGAAAAGTTGCACTGCAGTTGTCCTGGGTTAAACAATGCCTTGTAGATATATGGTTTTTTGAAAAAAAGCACTTTATGGTGACTCCTGAGGAGGGGAGAAGAAAACATATACAGGTAGAGCTGTGAAGAAAGGAGGTGCTTTATCAGTTTGAGAGAGAAAAGCAGGCAAGGAAGAGTAGAATCAGGCTGAAGAATGAGATAATTTCTCTTTCCTGAGATTATTAGAAGGAAGAAAAGAATGGGAGAGAGAGTTAATGAGAGTGATAACTGTGGAAAATCCGGGATGAACTGACAGAGGCCAATGGCTTAGTTGAAGAGATGATTAAAAGACAGAATGAAAGGATGGATAGATTGGGGGTGGAATCTAGAGACTGATTAGTGTAGGATTTAAAACAGGCAAGATTCCAGGTGATATTGTTATGTTCACAGTTCAGTGACCTTCAGGAGAATAGCTGACCTGAGCCTTAGAGAGTGAAACCTGGACCCAGGTAGAAAGGACAGTATCACCAAACAGCAGTTAGTGGGTATGAAATGCACCTTGAGAACTTTCAAATTGGAATGGAAATAGGTGATACAGAAGACCTGCAACCAGAAAATCATCTGGTACACCAGGAAGATCACTCAAAGAAAATCAAAACAAAGTTTAACTTTGACATAAGATTATTTGTTTACTTGCTTCTTGATGAATTACCATCTCCATAGCAAGGATTTTGTTCACTCTTGCAACCCAAGAACCTAGAGAAGAGCCTGGAACATAGTAAATGCTAGTAAATGTTGGTTGCTTGGTTTAAGGGATAATTTAGGGACAGAACCTAAGGAATGTCAATCTATAATTTAGTAAGACAGGAAGCATTGTTCTTTACTTAAAGTGCCCTACTCGCGGAGCCAAAAAATTCTAATTTCTGCTTCTCCCTTTATTATTATTATTTTTGAACAAAGAGTTTCACTTTTATACCAGCTTCTTATCTATAGAATGACTACTTAGTCATGCCCTCCTTGAATAGGAGAAGTATACAAGACCTGTCTCAGTAATCTGGCTCCTTAGGGTAATGATTTCCGGCATATCTTTTAACCACTTTTTTCAAACAAAAACCTGGACAGGAGCCCCATCCTGCCAGAGTTAATGCAGACCCTAAACCAGATCAATGTGGAGCCTAAAAATCTGATTGTTGTGGCTGATTTAGAACATGCAAATGAAGAAACCATTGTAAGAGGTTCAGTTACTGGTGGGACAACCGAATCTATACTGGTTTGTATCCACAAATGGGCACTTGCCACTAATCTTCTCTCCAGAAAATTGCATCCTGGGGTGGCAAAAGTGGGTGGATCAGTGGGAATCATTTATTCTGTGAATAAATAAAATGAAAATCAGTAAATCAATGATAATGATTGAACAGAATGTCTTCATGTAAGGGGAACAAATTTACTTGAAAAGCAAAGTTAAATTATCTTTATTTTTTGTGGAAAGAGTACAAAATGTCAATGTCTGAAAATAATGTGTCTATTCTTATAGATTGGCATTTCCAAAAGCATGTTCCATAGAAGAGCAGCAATCCCATGAGAAGCAGCATAAAATAAAGTTTCCATGGCCAAATAAGTTTAGGAAATTAAGTCTTTCCTATTCTCTCAGAGATTTACTATAGACATTAGCACTTTAAAGACTCTAATTTTTCTGTACGAAAAAGACCCCTTTGATGTTAACTCTTCATTTCCCAAACCTGATTGACCATGAAACACTTTTATGGTGTGATAACAATTAATAACCCATCTATAGAATATCCTTTGGAAAATGCTCTTTTAGCTCAATGGCAATTTCTAAACCACTCTAGTTGATTAAGCCTGCAAGTCATGAGAACGAGCTGCCCTTTCACTTATAATTTTCTCTCTTTCCCCTTCATGAAGCAAAAGTGGAATTTCTGAGGCCTTCAACATTCTCTAGCCTTGGTACAAAGCCCAGTACTATAATGGGCATCTCACAGGCGATTATTCCTTTGGAGCAGTATTTGTCAAGAACATTTCCACCAATATCTTGGCTATGAGAACAAGGAGTAGGATGAGGAATGTGGGCAAAGAGTAGTGAAAAGGAACATGGCTTGTCTCAAAACAGCTATGAGCTGTTGTCACCCAAGGCCTAGAATCTTTTCAAATACAAAATTTGGCATTTCTTTCTAGACAATTCTATTTAATATGTTTCTGTAGATGCAGTCTAAGTGAATAAGCAAATGAATTTTGTGAAACCACAGGATAGGCTGGTTTGCTGCCACAGCAAAGCCTTCTGTTTGGATAACTCCTTGATTATATAACCTATTTGAAAATCATTCTTCATTATTACAGGAACTAACTTGCCAAGGCATAATATGGCCATAAACCCAATTTATGTTGCCACATAAAGCAAAACAGAGTGTCTTCCTACTCTCCTCATGAGTTTAAAATGTCTATCTAAATCCAGGCTCCAAGTCTAGCTGGTAGAAAGACTTGGCACTTTCTGCATTGGAGAGCTGTTCTGGGTAAACAGTGTGACACACAATGTAAGAGAAATAATTCAGATGATAGGGGAAACAGAATAAAAATGATGTCATATTGAAAGAAATAAGACTTTTTCTTTTACTCATGTCAATGACCTGACTCAGCTATGTATTTTTACATCATCATGCTAACTTAGCTCTTATTGAGCACATTGAGCTCTTATAAACTTAACCACTTTGTAGCTTGCATTATGTGTATACATCATCTAATTAGCATTTAATAGTTACTGTGTTTTCAGTACCATGCTAGATTCTTACATACATGTTCTTTGATTTAGTTCTTAAGACAAAATGTTGTAGATTCTCCTTTTACACTTAGTTTGTGGATGAGCAACTCAAAGCTCAAGGAGATTAGGAGATTAGGTTAGTTTCCAGTCATGAAGTTACTGAGTAGACAAATCAGGTGTTCTGACTCCTAGTCCTGTGCCCTCAGAGTGGTCTCTCCAACCACCAAGCTATTTCTGTTTTAACAATATCCCTGACTACAACCAGCCCAGGGCTTTCCATATCATACTTGTTCAATACATGTTTTTTGAGGGTATAAATGAGGAGAAGATCTAACAGCATGTCCTTCATATCTTTTCAGTTTCCATGGAGAACCCAGTCTCAAATCACTCTTGATCTCTATTATATCTATTTATCAACTCATATGTTATTTTCACTGTTATTTTTAAGCACATAGATGATGTTTTTATTATCACTGCCTAGAAGTTCAAAGACCAAAAGCCCACAGTCCAGAAATCCCTGGTAGGAATAATCCAGCATGGATATATATTTCCAGCTATTAAGGGGAAATGGCTAGAAAGCACATTTCTACTCCAAGATGCTAGCCTAACCCTGGTGGAAATGGTGTAAACTACTTGACAAATTTTGAAAAGTTACTGGTCACGTTTTTGTCAGAATTTCTACTCTAAGACCCATCTCCTTAAGTGACTTTAATTATACTTGCTAATGGGAAACAAAACAATGATATAAGATTTAAAATGAAGCAATGATGTATACTAGTTTGGTGGAAGTTTTCAAAAATAAGTAGACTTTACTTCGAATTTGAGTACCACATCCTGTGTAACAGAGTGGTTAAATACAAGACTCAACACAAAGCCTTGCACATAGTAAGTGCTCAATAAGCATTCAATGAATGAACAAATACATGACATCTAAGTAGTTGGTCAGGCAACATTAATAAACAAGGAGATCTTAGAGAAATGGTTCAGAATTGTGTGCAGTTCAGAATTGTGCCATTACCCAAATGGCTATTATTAATGGATAATTGGTTATGATCTGTCTAATTAAAACTAATTTAAGAAAAAGGCATTGTAACCTCACGTATACTTTATAGTATCGGAACTCTAATAGCAGCCATGATAAAGGGGAGATAGAAACTCTTTGATTCAAATCAATTTAATTAAAAATACATCATGCATTTATTAGATGTGTTTCAATGCTTTCTTAAGATGAAGCCAAACTTCGATATGTGAGAGATTGGGAGAAAAATAATCCAATCTAAAGGATAAGCATGAAGATACTGGAATCACTAAGCATACTGAAGAAATCTTAAGTGGGCTAATTCCAAAATCTGTGTTCTTAGTCACTACATATAGACTGTCATATATGAAGAATAAAGTAAACTCAGTTTTGGACAAATGGAAATTGAATTATCAGAAGGGTCTTCTATTTTGAGAAACTGATTGTAATTAGCATGTTCAAGGTTTCCTTGTAACTTTTCAACTTCTGTTAAGATCAACTATGGCAAATATTAGAAGAAAAGTCAGTATGGCATAATGGAAAAAAAAATAGTGGGCAAAGGAATAAGAGATCCATATTGTAATCCCAGAAGAACTTCAAACTCACCACATGACTCTTAAGCATGTTACTATATCTTTCTGGGCATGCATTTCATTACTTATAAAATTAGACAACTGGACTATAATTAAAGGTCTTTTTCACTCCAAGATAGGCTCTAATGTAACCATCACTAAAATACAAAACATGTATTTGGCAGACAGAGACAAGATAGCAATGTATAGATAAATATTGACTCTACTTGACATTGTAATAGAAAATAAACTAAAACAGAATTTCCACATTGGTTTTACAAAATATGATCTCTGTGAACACTCATTAATAACAAAAAGAGGAATGAGCAGTCCACTGGAACAAAGTTTGTGAAATGTGAAATACCACGTGCTCTTCTCTGGAAATTCGCAAGTATGTTAGGATATTAAAAGTTCTGCAAAATTCTGCAACCATGGATCCTCTAAATAAATTCATTTAAATTAGCTGTTATTTCTAATTACATTTACCAATATTAATGTGCAATGGACATTCAAGGAATGGATGGCCACGTCTGGGTAATAATTGACTTCCATTGATTTCCTGAATGAAAAGTATGTTGGTCTCTTGATTAGCAGAAAAAGCTGCAGTAAAAGGTAAATGTTGCAGACTTATCAGCATTTCTTTATTATATTGGAAAAGAAATCGCAGGACTTTGCCATGCTTGTTTGGCTAAGTGAAACTCTGGTAAATATATGATTGGTTAAATATGTTGGTGCTTGGTTTTGAAAGTCCACTTTCACAAATACTGATGAATTACCCTTCTATTATATCTTACACAGGAGACTTACTGAGTGGAACTAAATTGGTTGCCATAAGTTATAAACTCTTTTAAGCCAAGTTTTAAAATATTTATGTAGAAGTCAATGCCACATACATACGAAACCATTCTATAAATACCAACAGGAATTTAAAATGGTGGGATTAAGATATAGTCCTTATACAAAATATCATCTTGTCCTTATACACACACTGTTGAAAAAATCCTCTTTCAGAATAAAGTACAACTGATTTTATTAAATGATGAAACTGGAAGGGATCTTAGAATTCAAATATCCCCAACTTCTCACTCTATAGATGAGCAAAAGAAAACCTACTGAATGATTTATTTTAAATCTGTTTGAAAGTTAGTGGAAGAGCTCTAATTAAAACTCTATCATAGGGTCCAACCTAGTTCATGTTCTAAATTACTAATCTGTCTCGCATTAAAGATTTTTCCTAGTTGGCTTCAATATTCTGCAGTGAAGTTCTAAAGCTTGGTCTAGTAGGGGTAGAAATAACCATAATGATAGTTCATCCTCTTGCCCAGTTTAATTTCTCTTAGTCACCTTTAACATTCTGTTTGGTTCTGATATCAAGACTATTTTAAGAAAGAAAGTGCTTAGACTTGAATAAAATGAGGTTAAAGAAAAGGACATCTGGGGTGTTGTTCAACGTATTTAACAATTGTTGCCACTGCAACATCCACCAATTAGAACAATTGCTGGCTGTTAGCCACAGGCCCTGTTGTACCAATACTTACTAGCAATAAACCAGTCTGGGGTTCTTAATTTTCTGCCTCTCCCCCATAACCTTGCTATGCATTGTACATACATTTATCTTTGTATGTTTGTGTTTGCAGAAATGGAGGTGGGGTAGAATGAAGCAGAGCACTTACTGTGTTTATAAATTCACTCATCAAATATTTGCTGAATCCAAATCCAGGACTTGCTCTTACGGAGTCTTTCTGTATTGCAGAGAAAGCTTGAATGGGAGCTATCCTCATGCACCCCCTTAATACACATATCTCCCAATCCTCTCACCACTTATGGGATTTCATACAAAGATATTTCATCTAGAACCTTATAAAAGACAAGCTTGCTCCTGCATTTCCAATTTCAGTGCATATATTTACTAATAAAGAAAAGCACCATCAAATGTAATTTAATCATTACAAACTTTCCTTTTCTTCCTATTAAATTATTTAAGAATCCATTTTCCTGAAATTTGAGTGCCCTTGGAAATTATCCTTTCTTCACAGCTGTGTAAGTAGTTCAAAAGGTTCTGTAAAATTGTCTAGATTCCCTTGAAAAACAGAGCAATTAAGTGAGATTAATGATATAAGGGATGGCCAACCAAGTTGGATCTCTAAATGTCAGCAACGATATACAAATAGTTCTCATCATAGCAGTTGTTTCCCACCATGACCCTAAGAGCTAAGAATCAGTGGTCTGATCTGACGAACTTTATCTAAAATGATGATGTTAAAGTCAATTTCAATGTGCAATTTAATTTTTCAGGTGAACTGAACATCCTGCTTTATTCAAGAAAGCTTAGTCCTTGTGAGAAACTTGCATATGACTCACCTTGCCAGTTCACGTTTAAAAAATTGGCACATTATAATTTTACAAATTTATGAGGTACAATGATGAAATCACCAGTTCACTTTTTAAAAATTAAGTATATAAAAAATTACAGCACATAAAACAAGGTTTAATCAACCCCACAAACTTAATCAGGAATACCAAAGAATTAATCTGAACTAATGTGATTTTGTTTGGGGATGCAGATGGGATAATAACTGAGAAGTTCAGTTATTTCAGAACGTGTCTAGAGGCATCTACATGACTTAGATCCATAGGTAATCCGATTCATATTTTTCTGATAGCTGACTCATATTTCTAAGACATCTTGTATCTCCTCACCTCTCTCTGGTGGTAGTACGCATTCAGTGATAGGAGCTAAAGGACGCAGTGCAGAACTAAACCAGAATTTATGCAAAGTCAATGAGCTGAATTGAAATAACTGAGTTGACTAAATTAATCTGAGCAGGATCTGTCGCTTTCCCTAAAGGAACCCTGACTAACAATAGCTTCTCCAACTGACAGTTGACTCTAACTTAAGTTCACTGCTTCTCTGCTGTTGCTAATGTGCAGGTTCTGGGTCCTGAACTAATTGCTGCCAGGTGGGTGACAGGAAACAGAGCTCCAATCTTGTTCTCTGTTCTGAGAGAAAATTCTGATATTCTTTGGAAAGATATAGATGAAACCTAATGTTTATCAAGAAACTCTGTCTGTTATCCTTCTTGGCTGATACACAAGAATATATGGTAGTCTTTGGCCAAATTAAAACATTAAAATGGACTCCTTTTTTGAAGAGGGGTTGGGAGTAGGGGATAACTAGTGGGAAAGGAAGGAAGGAACTAAAATGAACTGAATGCATATAGAAGCCAGGCAATTTATACACATTACATTATCCTCCTATGAAATGCAAATAGGCATTTAAATCTCCACTTTATATATAAGGAAATAAAGGTTCACAGAAGTTAAGTAACTTGATTAAGATCTCACAGTCAATAAGCGGCAGAGACAGAACTTGAAAACAGTTCTTACTTCAAAATCTATTTTCTTTCCACATTTCACACTGATTCTAGAAACATACGTATTTAAATAAACATGCCCATTGAAAATAATGAAGTTTGAAAATAAGTTGTCAATGATTTTTTTCTTTAATTGATCTACTCTTAAAGATTATATAACTATCTTCTGGCTAAGTTTCGCTGTATTAACATTATAAGTTTGTAAGCTGTAAACAACTCTATATGCCAAAATTCTTAAAACATCCAGACCCTTTGACTAAGGTTTTTTTCCTCTTGATATTATAAATTGGTCCAGATTTGATTGTAGAAATGTCCATCATAACTTTGTCTAATGCAGTGGAATTTGAAAGTAATCTAAATGTCCAAAATAATGAATTTGTTAATCTTTGGCACACCGATACTAATGGAATACTCTGCAGCCATTAAAAATTGTGTACTAGAATATTTAATTATCTAGATAGATGTTTTTGGTATGTTATTACTTTAAAAAGGGACTACAAACTGAATGTATGACATAATCTGATTTTTGTAAATATATATTTATATATGAATAGAAAAAAGGCTTGAAGAATATAATATTATGCAGCAGGCACTATGAGTATACACGTATTACCTCCTTCAATCTTTTCAATAGCCTTCGCATGTAGATACTATTATTGTTACTGTAATTTTGCAGCCATGAAAACTGAGTCTTAGAGAGGCTAGGTAAAATACTAGATTTGCTATGTAAAAAATAACCTCCAAATCTCAGTTTTTTAAAAGAAATGATTTTTTCTTTTCCTCAAGTTACATGATAACTATGGGGCAGCTGAAGCACCCTCTGTGGATCTGCTCCACATGATTTTCTCTCTGTGACCAGGGCTGATGGAGCAACACTCGTCTGGAATATGCTGTTCTCAGGGCAGAGGATGGTCCTGCCAGGGGAGCAACGCTTTGCTCAGATGAGGTAAGACATAACTACTCACACCCTATTGCCCTAAGCAAGTTACAACATTAAGGCCAAAGTTAACATATCATGAATACATATGCTTTTTCTGAGGAAGGAGAAAGCAAATAATTAGAAACACACACACACACACACATACACATACACACGACACAGAGGAAAATTGCACAAGTTTCCACAGCAAGGTGACAAAGATGGTACTAGAACCTCTCCAGATGGTGGGATTGAAAGTGATTGATTTGATTTGATTTGATTTTGCTTGCCTGCATTTTCTAATTTTTGCAACATTGACGGGAATTGCTTTTGAAAAAAAAGAAAAGAGGAAATGAACTATCTTGTTCTTGTTCTGTGTTTTGTGCACTGTTGCTGATAGGAATGTTCCCTATGGCGTAGCTTTGGAGTACAGAATAAGAAAATAGTAGGGGAAAGAGGGAGGTTATACTTGTCTCACCTTAATTGCTTGGGTCTGCTTTCAATCTGTCTTCAGATAACTGGAAATATACTTTTTAAAAAGTTTGACAATAATCCCCAATAAGGAACAACCCTCAAATTAAAAGAAGGCTCTTAAACCAATGGGAATGCCATTTCACTGAGAACTATTCTCTATAATGAAGGCTTCATTCATGATATCAACAGCAAGTTGCAATAAAAAAATGAATTAACACAATTAGCAATACACTGAAGACAGAATGTCTGATGGGCTTTCTAATTACATCTCTTAAGAGTGCCCTGGTGGTGATTAGGTGTTAAAAAATGTATTTCACAAATGTAATTACAAAATTATAAAGGGAAATTAATCTCAGTGGCCAATGAAGAATAGTCATAATAGACCCATAAGTACAGCTTCCAACAATATACAAACAAAGACAGAAAGCATTCAGTGATATTATAGAAAATTGCCCACATTTCCCATTTTAATTCTTATTGTTGTTTGGCTTCTTTGGAAATTCCCCCCAACAGGGAAAAAAACCAACAAATTCTATCTTACATTTCACACTTGCCTTCCCTAAAAACACTATCATTGTAATATTGTTTAAGTATAGCTAAAAATAGTTATTTCTGTGCTGGAAATAAGGAAACCCCTGACTGCAAAGTAATAGACCATGAGATAGTTTCAATATCTAACTTCAGCAATATTTGGTGCTCAATGAATTCTGGTAGAAATTCTTTAACCATGTATTATTTCCTCTGCTCAACAGCGTCTTTTTCTTTCTCCCACCGTATGTAAAACCTGTGATCTGCCATCTTGGGAAGACATTCAAATAGTACTCGTAAATATGTCTACCATGATCCATAAGTTTTTAAGACCTAAGAGAGATACGTGTTCAAAATGTTCAATATCCTCAACTACTATTCCTTTTCTTTCCTTTTTCCCCCTAAGCAAAACTGTATTTTTTTAATTTAGTACAACAAAGAATTTAAGTTTCCTGAAATAAAATAACTTCATGCCATAAGAATGAGGTAAAATCTGTCCAGTTAATCTTTTCTGGTATTCTCTTAGGAAGACTGAGTTAGTGTTATCTATTCACTTTGGTAATAATTGTGACTGACATCTCCAAGTTCTATCTAAAGCAGACGCACCCATACAAGACTTATGCAAGAATCTTAGGGGTGCAGCAATATTTCCATGTGGTATCTCACCTCCTCTCTGAAGATGCTGCTGCAAAAAGAGCTTTTATAGTATAAGCAGTGGGGCCCCTATGGAAATTTATGTCTGCCACTCCTGATATAGTCCCACCACCTATACTATTTAATAAAAAGAAGTGTCAAGGAAGGTACCGGTTCTGAGTAATTTCAAGGACACCTGAAAAAGGCCTGCAATTCAAGCATATTTTCAATGATGTCTAGATAAGACTAGATATAGCTAAGTGGAAAAAAAAAAGCCTATAAAAACTCAGTAGTCACAATGTTCTTTGCAGAACTCCCCCCCAAAAATAGTTTGAGTTTCCTTTTCAAAGAATCAGTTGGCACATCCAGTTGCATCTGTTTTTGTCAAAGCAGGAAGAGTTTGATACATTGGTTGTGAAAATAGTCGTACTTTAACTTGGGACATGTGGAAGGATATGAATTAGTGTGATAGATTCGGGAAAGTTTAGTCACGAAAGATGTTTGAGTCAGACAATCAGACATTAGAGATTATCTAATATGAAACCCTCATTTGAAAATGAAGAAACCAAGACTCAGGGAGGAGAAAGAACTTGTCCAAATTTACAAAGTGTATACACAGCAATGGGAATCAGGTATGTGCTGGATGGTCTTCTGTGAACATTTCACTATGTCTTTCTCTCCCGTCTTCTCAACCCTGTCTCCTTCCTTCAGGGAACTTTGCTAAACTTCTTATCTCCACTATAATACGTTAGAAAGACTAAATCAAGAGAGAAGTAGATAAGCCATGTCTACAAAATAGGATAAAAAGAGAACCTCTCTCGTGCAAAATAGGAGGCAAAATCACGCGCACACACTTCTTTTTACCATCCCATTCTAGCTAGAAGTTTATACAGGTTAAAAGGCCACCTGGGACTAGGTATGTTCAAAATGGCGGCTCCACCTTCCCTTCTCTTTGCCAGCCCCGTGTACAGGAAGGAGCAGGTAACAAGGTGCCAGCTAGGCAAAGACTCTATTTGCATAATAAGATTAGGGGCCCCACATATTATGTAAACATCACACCTGGTCCAACCAATCTTTGGGCCCTATGTAAATCAGATATTGCTTTGTCAAGCCTGTCTCTAAAATCCGGTGTACTCCACCTCAGGCCAAATGTCCCACTCAGGTGTCCCTCTCTCTCAAAAGACAGAAAGCTGTTCTTTCTCTTTCTTTTGCCTATTAAACTATCACTCCTAAACTCACTCTCTGTGTGTGTCTGTGTCCTTAGTTTTCTTGGTATGAGATGACGAACCCCAGTTATTTACCCCAGAAAATGATGCCGCTTCACTAGGTTTCTGGCTTTTACAATATGTCTGATGCAGATGGGATTGGCTGAGATAGGGCACACTGAAGGAGGATTAGGTTTTTTGGGGAGGTTCATAAGTTTAGGACATTGTTTTTATTAAAGACCAATTTCATGGTTTCTCATCCATATTCTCCTGCAGGTGTGTTTCTCATTTGCACACTTGAGGCCTCATAACCAACTCACAGTGACTTTAAGAGCAGTCACAGAGGTAGTGTTTAATGCTACTTAGTGTATTTCCTTAATGTCCTTCAAACAAGCAAAAAGCAACAATCTCCTCACTACAGACAAAAATTACTAAATGGCCCTGTAGAAAACAAACAGGATTCTGTTGTTATAACACGCTACCAAATATCCAGATGGCTCAATTGTTTGTTGAACTATTTGGTCAAACAGTTGTTGATTGTGATTTTTTTTTTTTTTTGGCTTCACTTGGTGGTTGTGGGGCATAAGACCAGCAGATTCTCAGCTTCCTAGCTTATTTTCCTATGCATGAACTTTTCCTCTGGGAAGTTGGCTTAATAATCAGGTGATATGGTTTGACTGTGTCCCCACCCAAATCTCATCTTGAATTGTAGTTCCCACAATCCTCACCTGTTATGAGAAGGAGCCAGTGAAAGGTAACTGAATCATGCAGGTGGGTTTTTCTCATTCGATTCTCATAATAATGAATAAGTCTCATGAGATCTGATTGTTTTATAAAGGGCAGTTACCTTGCACATGCTCTCTTGTCTGCCACCATGTAAGACATGCCTTTGCTCCTGCTTCGCCATGATTGTGAGGCCTCCCCAGCCATGTGGAACTGTGAGTCCATTAAGCATCTTTTTCTTTATAAATTACCCAGTCTCAGGTATGTCTTCATTAGCAGTGTGAGAATGGACTAATACATCAGGAAAGAATAAAGTCCCAAAGGGCCAAATTAGAATTAATTTAGGGTCAGTGAAGAGTAAGCAGCCTTAATGTAACAAGGAGGCCCAGAATACTTCCTTGTTGAACACACACACACACACACACACACGAGTAAATAGACTAATAAGGTGAGAAAGTGGTTAAAAAGAAGTGGGGTCAGAAGGACAAGTCAAGTGTTATATGTCAGTTAATGCCTGATGGAGAAAACATTAGTTTAGGAGCAGTACTTCAAAGGGAGAGCCAGCTGTCAGGGCAATGAGCAGTGAGGAGGGTAAGGAGCCAGGACAGAAAAGAACAGTGGTGCTGCCATGAGGGGCCCTCAGTGTAGGGTTTTCGAGACAGCCTAGATGTTGAATCAGGTGCCAAGGAAAGAAAGTGACTAAGAAAAGCAGAAGAAACCAAAGAAACCTTTCCCTCCACCACTGTTTGTGCAGAACTAAAATCAAGCTGATGAAGTCTGCATTAAAAAAAAAAAAGAAGGTCAGGCGCAGTGTCTCATGCCTGTAATCCCAACACTTTGGGAGGCCGAGGTGGGTGGATCACGAGGTCAGGAGATCGAGACCATCCTGGCTAACATGGTGAAACCCCGTCTCTACTAAAAATACAAAAAAAAAAAAAAAAAAAAATTTAGCCAGGCATGGTGGCGGGCGCCTGTAGTCCCAGCTACTTGGGAGGCTGAGGCAGGAGAATGGCATGAACCCGGGAGGCAGAGCTTGCGGTGAGCCGAGATGGCACCACTACACTCCATCCTGGGTGACAGAGTGAGACTCCATCTCAAAAAAAAAGAAAAAAAAAAGAAAAAATTGTTCACATGGACCAAGATGAAGAAGACAACCTTTCTTTGATTTTCATTTTAAGAATTAATATACCCAATTTCCTGAAACCTAGAATTTCTGATTAACTTACAAGTTCTAGAACCAATTTATGATATTTCATAAGATATGCTCAGAGAATCTTATGAAAACATATGCAGTAAATACAATTCACACATATATTGCCATTTGGCATATAGCCAAAGAAAAATAAGTGTGCACTTATTTCACAAATGTTGACATAAGATAATTCTAATGTATATATTGGATATTTTACCAAACAAAAACAAAAACAAAAGAAAACCCCTCAATGTGCTTAGTCAAGAAAAGGGGAAAATGAATCAAAGCAAAAAGTAGTATATTTTCCAGTTGGGCATACTACACTCTCAAAACTGTGGCTATCAGAGAGCATGTGGACTCACAAAGGAGGGTGGAACATTATTTTTTAAACAAATTTTTTTTTAATTTTTAACAAAATTCAATCAAACTATTAAATAGAATTACTTTTATATGCAGTTTTATTGAATTTAAGCCTTAATTCTAATTCTGCTTCTATTACCATTGTTGAACTCTCATGTAGCAAATAAGCAGAGTTACAAATTTAAAAAGTAGTTGAATGGTCTAATGGGTAGGGTCATTGAATTATTTTTAACTAACCCTGTTTGAAATGAAGATTAGTCAAGGCATTACAGGTAGAAGGCTAAGATTTCTGGTAAATCCATGTAGTGATCTGTTTGTTATAATAGCTGTGTGCCAAGAGTGGTGTAAGGCTTTTACTTTCATTACCTAAATTAACTCTCAACAACCCTCAGAGAAAAGCAGGTTTGCAGATGAGGAAGTGGGAGATTTGGAATTTATACTTGGTCTGTAAGATCTTACTGTCCATGTACCTAGTGACCCTAGGTACATGCAGTAATGTACCCCTGTAGTAATGTCTCCCTGATTTCAGAGGAGTAATTTCTGTAGCGCTGTGTTAAAAATTGAGAATTTGGGTTTCTCTTTCCTACTCCCGCACTAAAACTAAATTACCTAGCTATTCTATCTCATCTCATGTGATTTGCTTATAAGATGAAATGGACACTCTTCCATTGAGAGGTGGGGTGTATGTTCCCTCCTCTTGAATTTGAGTAGAGCAAGACACTGTGGTGCCATATTGGCTCAGGTAAAAGCATGGTGCCATATTGGCTCAGGTAAAAGCATGGCAGAGAGGGATCCCGTAAGATTCCCAGGCAAAATTCTTTTCTCCAGATTTCTTTAAATTGCCCCCAACAATATGGGGTTTTAGACAGGAAATGATGAAGTCTTACCTTTCACTACTGAAAATCTAATTTAAGGAGCCACCTTCTCCTAGAGTTGCAGGCAACTCTAAAATTCAAGTATTAGAAATATATTATCTGGAAAGGAAAAGATCCTAATAGAACATTTAAGAACTAATAGGCTTCCTAAGTCAAATGATATAAATAAACAGAAGCCCAAAATCTTTTTGGACCCTTTAGTACACAGGACAAAAACAAAACAAAATGAAAAAACTTTTAAGACAACTCAGCAAAAAAATTCCAATTTAGAATCAATCTAATACTCTAGAGGCCAACTGCTTTCAAAGCAGAAACTAGCTTTATTTTCTTTCTAAATCTTTGGCCAAAGCAACATTTGGAATACTCACATATGTGGAGATTAACTTTCTGCCAAATATAGAAGTTTCCAGTTTATTTACTCAATAAAATCATTCACTCAAGCTAATCTTATTTATTCCAGGAATAATGTTGCATTTGTAGACTGTGTCCCTGACTACGAACTTAGAATCAAATAAATTATATATATGACAATACTATATTATGAAAATCTAAATACAGAACTGAAAAATTCCTATGGTAAAATTAGAAATATTTAAGTTGAATCCCAAAAAGTGGATATTTATAGGATTAATACATAAAATACCATTTACTTACATCATTTGTTTGACCTAAAACTTCCCTCCAATCAAGTTAGTTGGGCATTACATTTATAATGCTTTTAATACTTTTTTAATTTAGAAGGGATTTTTCAGAGATGATTTGGAGTGATCTATATCTTTATAAAGAATAAACGACTCTTACTAAAGACTTTTGAGATTTTTTTTCTTTGTATAAATTTCTTTGTCACGAGCAAGGACATTTATTTATTATTTCATTGATCAAAGCAGAACTCAGAGTAGAGTGGTGGGTACTCGATAATTACTTACATTGATTATATAAAACTATGACTTCTCCTAAAAGCTGTTATTAAAAATCAGAGTAGGCTGGCATTTCTCTACTCCATGTTTTTCTGGTTCAGAGTAACATCAGGAGCTACTTAGGACCCGTCCAATGTCCATGGGGGAAAGGTCCCTCGTTAATATTGACACTGAGTTCATCTTTCACTGGAGGTCAGAAAGTCTCCAAGTCTCTCTGTGACAGCCCGGTGAAGACTCCTATCTGATCTGGTGGGCCAGGGAGGCACCCATCAGTGAGTAGCAAAGCTTTCCCAAAGGAGTTTTAGTTACTTGAGAACATTTAAAACTACAGATAGCACTGCAGCTTGCACATGTATATCCCCCAAATTCTTCACTTCTAAGCCTGGACAAAAAGAGATGAGGGGTCTCTAAAGAGGGTGGGGTAAGGTGGCTCAAGCTTATAATCCCAGTGCTTTGGGAGGCTAAATTGGGAGAATTGCTTGAGGCCAGGAGTTGGAGACCAGCCTGGGCAACATAAAGAGACACTGTCTCTACAAAATAAAAGTTTTTTAAAATTAGCTAGGTGTCTGTAGTCCCAGCTACCGGAGAGGCCAAGGCGGGAGGATTGCTTGAGCCCAGGAGTTCAAAGCTGCAGTGAGCTATGATAGCACCACTGCCACTCCATCCAGCCTGGACAACAGAGCGAGACCTTGTCTCTACAAAAACAAACAAACAAACAAACAAAAATTATTTAGGAGAGTGATGAGATTCTATTTGAAGAATGGGTTGGGGAAGAGCAAGCCCGGAAGCAAAGCTAGTTAGGGAATGGAGCCTGGGGGATTAGGGAAGACTTCATAGAGAAGGTGACCTTGAATTGAGAGCGGAAAGAGAAGTGTAAAAACATGCTTAGTGAAAAAAACCCTCTCTCTCTTTCTCTCTCTCTCTCTACATATATATATATATTCACATATGCATATATATGCTATATCTATATAGCATAGGGACACAAACATATGTAATTAAGAAAATAAATCATAAACACAGTAACTAAAAATTCTAGAATAACAAGTTAAGTTACTTCTGAGTGGGAAGGAATGAATGGTGGATGAGATTGGAGAAGAATTCACACGTACTGCTAAAGATCTTCTTAAACTAGTACATGGGTGTTCATTATACAATTATTTTTATGTCATATATATTTCATAACTACTCAAAATTTAATCTAAATTCCTTAAAAACAATTAAGTAATATATAATTTAGTAAATTGTTATGTGGGAGAGTTTAAGACAAATCTCCCATTGTTGAGAGATCTAACTCTAGGCTTACATGGAGTTTTATAATAATCACTTTATCAACAATTTATTGAACATATTGGTATATGCTCAGAGGTGAGAATCATCCACAATAAAAAAATTACTAGATATGTGAAAAGTGGGAAAATGTAATTCCTTTTGAATAGGAAAAAAAAATAGCAGATTCTTAGACAATACAGTTGTTGGACTTTTCAGACCAATACTTTAAAACAGTTATTAAACATACACTAAATAGTTACAGAAAATGATGAATACAGTGGATGAAACTGTAGTGAATGATGGCCATTGTGGATGAAGTAGTAGGGAATTTCAGGAGACATTTTAAAAATTTAATAAAGAAGCAAATGGAAATTCTAGCAATGAAAAAGTCCTATATCTGAAATAAAAATGCAATGGATGGGCTTAACAGCAGATTGGACCCAGCAAAAGAAAGAATCTTCTTTTCTGGGTAGGCATGCGCTATGGGCATATAAGTAAATGTAGAGAGGTGGAGGTTACTATCAGATCCCACAGTTAAATCCAGCCATAAATCCGCCCAGTTTTAATTTCCTCCAGTTGGAATACTTCTTTCACTTAGAACCAGCCAAGCTTAATGCTCTTCCTTAGGAGCCAACTAAGCCCCAGCTAAAATGCAGTTCCCATTAACTATGGCCTCTTCAGTGGTGGCTGAAAGGTAGGCAGAATAATGTTCAATCTTCTTACTACATGTCTGGCAGAGTATGCTTTGTGACTATTACAGAAAGGACCTCAAAACGTTTGGAGACCTGGAGTGACCAGGCATCATGCTATTTACTTTACATAACAGCCCTGTATGGTACGTTGCATCTTCATTTTATTGAGGAAGCAACTCAAGTGCATCCCAGAGAGATTAAGAGACGTGCCCATGGTCTTTCATTTAGCAAGAGGTGGAATCTAAATTCAAACCCAAGTCTTTCTGACTGTACAGCTCATGTTTTAATTCTCCCAGTGCCTCAGGATGGTTTCTTCTTTTAGAAAAGGCTTTCTTTTCTTTTATGGCATCACAATTTGTAATAAAAGTAATTCAGGGCCTTAAAAAATGCACATAAGATGAGACTTTTGTAAAGTTTACGTGGAATCAGCAACCATTTGAAGAGTATAAACACAGGGACATCCTCTTGCTTAATTAAATCCAGCTGAGTATCCTAAAATATTTAAGATAATTATATTTTTTGATGAAATGAATTATTATGGCTTGTACAGACAATCTGAAAAGGCTAATTAAAAGGCAATTTCTCTTGCAGAGTGGAAGATGCTCTTCAGCAGTTCTTGAAGAGCTCCATGCAATTTGGCTGCATCTGCCCCTTACACATGCAGGGGTATCATATAATTCCAAGGAAAATTTTATGGTTCTAAATAGCACTCATAAAATTTTTTCCTTGATAAACAGCAATACTGACATAACTTATGATAACTGTTTTCCTTCCAACAAATGATTATCGTATTTAGGAGCTGGCATCTAATTAGTAAGACAGTAAAGCCTGTTATATAACAAAACAGAATATTTAAGGTAAACCAGAGACCCCATGAAGGCTAGGAATAACTATTAACATTCTCCTAATACATGTCCATTGCCCAAATACAGACACAGAGCTGCTGCCTCCACACTGTTCTGCACTCTAGAAAGCCTGGAAATGCCACTTCCTTGTGATTCCTGACTGCTTTGCCTCTCAGTGCACTT
This sequence comes from Homo sapiens, assembly GCF_000001405.40. Lineage (NCBI taxonomy): Eukaryota > Metazoa > Chordata > Mammalia > Primates > Hominidae > Homo > Homo sapiens. The sequence goes on from NC_000007.14 coordinate 93,513,163, forward strand.
CTAGCATGGTCTTCACGTAATACTGGTTTCAGAGGAAATTAGGGTACCTATGAGTAATCTCAAATGACAATTGGCAGCCCCAAATGTTCCACATAGAATGTGAAAAAAAATTATTTTAAAGGAAGATCATTTATGTAATAAATGTTTTAAATGAAAAAGATCTTTCTAATAACATCTGCTATTAAAAGAAGTATATATAGGTTTATTTACTAGGACACCTTATTAAATACTACAGTATAGAACCACTGCTTTCTCACAGAATAGCTGGTTTTAAAAGCTATTTCTTCTCTTTTTATATTTCCATTTATTTGAGTAGTAGTCCCATGTTTCATTCTTAATGTTTCTGTATGTATTATAAAATGTAATGTTTTCTAGAAGGTTGGTTTTTCAGTAAAACCACTTAAACTTTGCAGATGGCATCGTGGAATGAGTAAGCTACAGCTGAATTTCTGTTATGGTCTTTACAAGTTGTGTGACCTTCGAAAAGTTAATTTTTTGAGACTCCATTTTCTCATTTGAAAAATGGAGATTGTAATGCCCCTCTTGCAGTGTTAATGTGATCTTCAAGGAGGTTAGGTCCATAAAACAGTTGACATGCAATAAGTATTTAATATGTAGATATTTGTTTTTATTTATAAATAAATATGTAGATATTTGTTTTTATTTACAAATAAACATATAGATATTTATTTCATTTACAAATAAATATATAGATACTTCATTTACAAATAAATATTTATTTCATTTCCAAAAATTATATAGATATTTATTTTATTGTGACCTGGGCCTGCTCCTTTTCTCATTCAGCATAAACTGTAATGAGGATACATTTGCAATCCAAGATAAGGAAACATAGAGGGTGACATTCTATATTTGAATCAATCATTAGAACTTTGCTTATCACAATTTCATTCACCCTCAGAGCACTTACTATACTCTGCACAAAGCAAAGGACAAGGTGAACTAAGATGGTGAATTTGTAGTCTATGTGCTGACATAGGCTGAATATAACTCCTATGCTCAATTAAGAGATAAGCTTACCATCAAAGAAATAGAAAATAATTTGTTTTTGCATGTTCAATTTTGGTTACTATATGCTATAGCAGAAAAGAAAAAATACTATATAATATGTAATAATTGACACCTTTAAATCTGAGGTTGGCCACATATTTAGAGTCTTTAAACATTTGTAGCTATAATACTTTTGTAAAGGGCTAATATTGAGCTCTAAATATGAAGGATCCATGCTGAGGAATTCCAGTCAGTGCTTCAATACTTCAAGATAAATAATTTGTTGTTATGAATATCATATAAAGTTATCAGAAACAAGTAAAACTTTCAATATAATAATACACTATTATTAATATAATAATCTAATCTGAATTATGGCAGCTCACTAAAGTTGACGCCACTCTATTGCTGCTACCAAATCTAAGGTAATTTAATTTCTTATATTCAGCATCATGTCTGTGAATGTACTAATGCACTCAGAGTAATTACTTATTGAAAACATTAAGAATGTTCTGATTTGGGGTACTTGATTTCATGTGCATATTTTAAAGGTACTATGTCATTTTCCCAATAAACTTTATTTTCTCTTTCTGTAAGAATGCAACCAATTGACGAATAGATAATCCTAAAAGTTCTATTATTCAGAGACAATAGCTTGCCTCTGCATTATGAGCCATTAAAAATGGTAGCAGAGCAAATAAGTAGTGAATCTAGGTTATTTAGAAATACTTTTAGAAATCTAATGGAAAAGGTAATCTCATGCTCATGCAACTTGAAACTGTACCACTCACTTAATTATATTCCAAGGCCATGTGGATTCCAGCAACATCTATGTCCTTTCTAAAAACATTAACATGTTTTTCTTCTGGATTCAAATACATCTTCAAGTGTTTCTGACATCAGTAGAAAATCCTTTTTCTTCATACCCTCTAGATAAATACATTTTGGCAAACTGAATTACACTGATCAATTCATGATTCTTATAATTGTAAATCACTTTCTTTCAAGCCTTTCTCAAGGATGGCTATAAGGAAGACTAAAAAAATTTCTAACATATGAATTCCTGTGTGTGGAAAAAATACTTATAAGCAGAAAATTTGTAGGAGTTCTGAAGCAAACAGCATGAAGTTATTACCCTATGGGAGATGAACTCCTAGGCATCATCAGTTGCTATCTCCCTGACTCATTGTGTTTGTGGCAAAGGAGGTATGTCAAAGCAGGGACCTTTCGTTTTGACCAAAAATGCATGCATGCTTGGAAAATCTCATCTGATTAGTAATGATTAATGGCACAAATAAAATACATCATTGTGATTATTATGAATAGTATTACTTTAGCTGTTATTATTTTGGTGTTTATGTTTCTCAAATATATCTGCTTATATATGTTTCCTTTGCTACACTCTTGTTTGATTGATTCTAATGAAATATATACACATACACCATTTGCACATTTTTCACAATTGAGTGTCTCAAAAGTAGATTTGGATCTTATAATTGCTGTCAGCCAGAAGGCAGTCATGACAAAGCTGTCTGTCCTTTCTTACCAATGCACATTCAAATTTGTAGAATGAGCATCAGAATTCAAAGCTGAGTAGAAAAATATGGACATGGACAATTTTGAGTCAAAAAGTGATTTAAGAAATGTCAAAATCTGAATGCGAAGTTTTAGGTTGCATTAAACAATTTTGCTTTTATCTCTTTATTTTTATTTCAATGTTTCCACAAGACTGATATATTGTAAAAATCTATGTATAAATGGATCTAAAAGAATTCTTTCAATAATCATAAAATAAAAATTAAAAATATAAGAAAGCATTGAGTCATAGTATAACTGAATTTTATTTTCTTTTTAATGATACATAAAATAATGTGTGTGCATAATTTCCATTATTATTCAAAACCAGTGTGACCATATCCCAGAGTCCTATCCTTTCTTTTACAAGTCTCACCTTAAAATTTTCCTCAAAAAATGTAAAAGGTTTAACATCACCCTCTGTTACACATATAAAATGGTTTTAATTTGGCTCTTCAAAACCATGATAATCCCAAACTTATAAGCAAATATTTGGCATAAGTAGATGGCACAGTTGGATGAACCAGAATGCCCCACTAGGAAGTTGTTTCTTTAGGCTAAGTTATTTCATAAAGCTTCAAAATTTTGTGTCACATTGATTCATGAATTCACTGCTCAGAATTTATTCTAAGAAAATAATCATATGTGGATAAAGATTTTGCTGCAAGGATACTAAACTTGGGGCTAGTATCATTACACCAAACAATGAAAACAGCCTAATGCCTCATAACAGGGAGATGGACACATTGTGGATTGCTATGCAGCAATTTAAAATTATGTTGGAAGAGAATTCAGTATCATGAAAAGATGTTGTAAACATATCCTAGAATAAAAAACAAACAAAAAGGAGGCTAGGAACCATTATGGCCAGTAGAACCCTTCAAAGAATAAATACATGCATGTCAAAGAGAGTCGAGAAGTATGTTACATGTATATACATAAAGATTATCTCTAATTATAAGATGATGGATGAAGTTTTCCCATAATGCTACTTATTTTCCAAAATGATCGATATATTTCTTTAATAATTAAAAAGTAATAATGGAGTGTCAGAAGTCCTCCATAAAATATAAATTGCCCAGAATAGAGGATGATGTTGCATCACTCTTAAATTATCGCGGGTTTTTAGGAGACCACTTTAAGATCCAGAGCTGTAAATTTACAGTGTTGAAAGTGAAAAGAAATTATGGTTTAGAGCATAAGAGTAAGTCAAAGGAAGACAGACTTGGGTAGGACATTGCGGTGGCTTTTTGCACATTAGAACCATGAGAGTATAAAATAGCTGGGCATTGAGAAGCAGGTATCATAAGGTTGCAAGGAGGATGTCATGATTAACCACTAATTTCAGTTTTGCTTCTGCCTAGTCTATTATGGACTTCACAAGTAATTCCATCTTAATATAGGGAGTGAGAACAGAAGCTGTTTTTACTACCCAATACCTATCACGCTGCCAGGCACAAAGCCCAAACTTTGAAAATGCTTCTAACCTCAGGAAATCTGAAGTAGTGGAAAGATCTTTGGATTACTATAAAAAAGTCAGAATTTGATTTGAGAACTTTTTTTTTTTAATTTGCTAGCCATATGGCCTTGTGCTAATGACTTGCATTTCTGAGACAGATTTCCACCCTATAAATTTAGATGATATTAATAATGCTCCTTCACATAGTTGGAAAGATTAAATAATCATATATTATAAACTAGCAATGATTTGTTTCCATAAATTATTACTACACCTATTTTTGCAAAAGGCCTTTTAAATATAGCATTACAATCCATAACAGCACTGCTATCTTTTTAGAATTCTTGAAGACTACATAACTGAAAACTAAAAGCAGGTGAACTATATGGAAAGAAAAACAAAACTTTAATTATTCTTACATTGAAGCTATCAAAACTTTAAGGATCTGAAATATTAAAAATGAAACAAAACACACTGAACTTCTTTGTGTATAGTTACTGCGAAGACAGTGTGGCTCATTGACCTCTTAGGATTTCTTTCTAACTCATGGTTGTAATGAGGATACATTTGCAATCCAAGATAAGGAAACCTCATTGAGTAAAATATTGACACAAGGAGAACTTTGAAAGAGATTAGTTCAATATAACTAAACAGAAAATCCAGAAATAAGTCCAACTCCCCTTAGGAATTTATTATAGGGAAAGGTGACATTTTATATTGGTAGGGACAAGATGGGTTATTTAATAAATGGCACTGGAACAACTGCAGAACCTTTGGGAAAAAATGGGTTCCTTCTTCAGTCCCTACATCTAAATAAATTTCAGGTGGATAAAATAAGTAAATGTAAAAGCATGAAACATTGAGAACAGTAGATAAAAATATGTGTATTTTTGTAATCACAGAATAGAAAAAGAACTTCCAAGGGTGACATCAAATTTAGGAGGCATAAAAGCCAAGATTGATAATTCTGGCAAGATAGGAATTTAAAATTTATTTACAAGACCACACACACACACATACACACACACTCCAAAACATAAAAAAATCAAGAACTGGGAAAAATATTCACAACATATGTGACAGAAAGTAGTTAAATTCCTATGAAAACAAATAACAAATCAATGAGATGAAAACTCAATAAAAATGAACAAAAAACACAAATGACCTATTCAAATATGAAAAAACTCTACTCATAAATACTTGACTTTATTATAACTAATTCTATTCATATTTAAATATGTGCAAATTAATGTCATGAGTTTTCCCACCTGTTAGCTTAGCAAAGACTAAACTGTCTTCTATTGTCCAGCATTGGTATTTATATGAAGAAAAATGCACTTCTGCATTATTGGTGGGAGCATAGGGATACAATCTTTTTGAAGGGCAATATCTACAAAATAATTAAACCCAACCAATTAGGTGGAGAGTACACAAAGATGTTTATTGGAGCAGTTTTAGAAACAGCAAAAAACTAGAAACAATCTAGAATACTGATTTTTCATAAATGAAATAGAATATTATGTAACTATTAAAAAGAATGAGATCAATCTCTATGGGATGATATGGAAAGACCTTCAAGGAGCATTGTTAAGTTAAAAATAAACTGTACATTAATATTTATAGTTTTATGCCATTCGTGTTTCTAATAAACATACATTTACATTTACCAAGATATATCTGGAATGATAAAAAAAAGAAACAGTTTAAAGTGGTTTCCTCTGAGGAGATGAGTTGTAGGATTGAGAGAAAAAATTTTTTATCTAAATCTTTTGTATTATTTAACTCTTACATAATGATCATGTTAATTATGTAATAAAAAGCTTAAGCCATGCTAACTGAGTAGTGAATTATGCTTATTAACACTGCTGTATATAATCTTCTATTTTTTAAGAGTTCTTATATGAAGGCTTTTTTAAACTTATAGACCTTAAAGATGTTCAGTCTTCACTCGTACATACTAATGTTTTCTCCTGTTTTTTCTGTTGTGTGAATTTAAATTCTATAAACTTGTTTGTCATATATCTAGAATTCCTTATATTGCTGTAATTATCTGGTTAGCTTAACATAACTTAAATGAAAACTGATATGTGGCATCAATATGATAGTTTTAATTACAATAATTTTATAGAGTAGTGATTCTAGGATTTGACTTTCTAAATTTACATACTGGCTCTCTCATTTATTAGTAGGGTGACCCTAGGAAAGTTACTTAACCACTCTTAGCCTCAGTTTACTCATTTGTACAATTAGGTAAATGATAGTCTGTCTTTATATTATAGGGAAGTTGGGGAATTAGATAAATACATATAAAATATTTGGCAGTCCTCAGCACATAGTATTCAATAAATATGTTGAGCATTTTCATTATCTATATTATTATTAAAATACCTTTGAAAGACATTTCCAAATTCAATTCTGTTATAATATAGTCTGTGATATGGTTAGGCTCTGTGTCCCCACCCAAATCTTATTTTGAATTATTATCCCCAGGTTAAGGGAGAGACCTGGTGGGAGGTGATTAAATCATGGGGGCGATACTCCCCATGCTATTCTCATGACAGTGAATAAGTCTCATAAGAGCTGATGGTTAAATAGCAGTTCCCCTCTGCTCGCTCACTCTTCTCTCTCCTGCTGCCATGTGAAGAAGTTCCTTGCTTCTCCTTCACCTTTGACTATGAATGTAGGTTTCCTGAGGCCTCCCTAGCCATGTGGAATGGTGAGTCAATTAAACCTCTTTCCTCTATAAATTACCCAGTCTTGGGAAATTCTTTATAGCAGTATGAAAATAAACTGATACAGTCTATCTTCAAATATAAACATTTTTCAAAATGTGTTCATAAATATAGAATAAATTGCTGTTATTTTTGAAGAAGAAGCAACTATTTTTCAGTTGTTGAAAAATATCAGAGTTGCAAATATTACTTTCAGTTTCTCAAGCAGAAATAATGGAATATGAAAAAAAGATGGAAAATAGCTGGTAGATATTAATGAAGGAAAGTGAGATGAAGATAGACCCTGAATTGAAATTGCCAAATGAGTTCACAAAGAGGAAGTAAATGCCATTCAACCTGATGGTGGGGAATGAGATTACCAGTGTATGGAGAACTTAGTTCAATTAGATAATTTTTACTTTCTTGACAGGTAATGTGTAAACAACATGTGTGGCATTTTACCCAGCTGTTTTCCCTACATTTCACTTATACCACGATTTAATCATTAAGAGAGTAAATGGAATATTTTCCATTTGTTGCATCAGAAGAAGCATTATTGACTATTTTTTACAGTCCTCATTGTTCCTTATTGTGCCATTTTTATTTGTATAAGTAAATGTTGCTGAATTTAGAAAATTTATTTCTAGCAAAGATATAGCATTCCTCTCACCCTACTTAATTTGTAATAATTCCATGTACAGCTATAAAAAAGAGAAAAACATCAACTCTACAAAAATTAGCTTATTTACCTTGGAGACAGCTAACTATAGCTACAAATATTCTGACAAGAAATGCAGGTTTCTTCTATAGAAATTGTCTGATTTTTATTTATTTTAAATGGTACATGGTGCACTTCCTACCTGAAAGTGGGGCCAATTTTTTTATGAACTCTTTTACTTTGAGTTCTATTGAATTTAAAGAAACAAAGACCAAATTTTGGTGAGATTTTTAGATTTATACTTTTTATAGGGCCACTTTAAATGGTGTTGGAGACCATTAGCAACAAATACATGCAATTCGAGAAAGGTCACCATGACTTCCTGCAAATTAGGGGTTTTATTAGGAAACCATGGCTATAAAACATTTGGTGTTTCTCAGTTGGCTCCCTGTGTAGGTGGCATATTTCCTTCCCTATGTTTCACAGCCAGTGAAAGGTCCAAACCCTTCCCCTGGTACATCTAATGTTATTCAAAACAAATCCAACAATTTGTCACATTAAGATCTTATTTAGTAAATAGCTCTAGGGACTATAAGTTCTAGTACCTCAGAGTTCCAACTGATTGATTTGTTGCCAGTAAGGCTAAAGTTGGGGCCAGCCTGGGTGGACCGTACCTCTGTTCAGTGGCCCAGATCACAGAGGTCACTGGATACAAAGGCACTTGGTAGGAAGATATGTCTGGTATAGCAGCAGTTGGCCACCTCTTCTATGCATGAGAAATAGTATACTGTCCAGACCCTACTGGCAAGTAGGAACAACCTCATTTTTATAGATACAAAGGAATAAGCCATATATTAAAGTGTGTACATTCATATTTCCCAAATAGATATTTTTTCCCTAAGCACAAAAAACAAAGGTACCAAGAAAGTACATCCTCTAATCAGGAAGCTAGGGGGAGAATCTACTGCTGACAAGTAAAAATTACAGAGCTATAAGATCCCTTTAATTTTCATCCTAGATTCTAGATTTTATTTTTCTAAACCATTCTTTTTGTAGCCACATAATTCCAAACCATTCTTTTGTATCCATATAATTCATTGCTAGGGACTCTTTCCCATTCAGAACTGTGCAGAATTAATGATATGAAGATGCATAGATATTGCCATATGTATTACATATCTATTAATACTATTTTATTCCATTACATATCTATTAAATACTTTATTAAATAATTCAAATCTGCATTAAGAATTAAATAATTCTTTCTCTTTATCAAAATCCCAAGGGGTACAACATTTTGATTGCTAACTTTTGTTATGTGGTCAAGCTCTGGCTTTACAGTATCATTTTGGAGAAATCAGAAAACTACCAACAAATTTCTGAATGCTCTTAACTTCAGTGAATTCCGTTTCCCTTTCCCCAATATTTTGTTTTGTTTTTTTGAACAATAGTTCAAAGATAACTTCCATAATTATAAGTATGTAAATGAAACAATTTGTGTATGTTTGCATGAGTGTCTGAGCGGGGATTTATTATTTTTTTAAACACAGCATGAGGCATATCACTCACATCATAGAAAAAGCCATTTTTAAGTTTATCAACTTAAAAATTGAGTATCCAATATTTTAGATGATAAATCTAGCAAAGATATAAAGAAAATGGCTTTAAATATCTCAGTGCTGATACTGATTTATCAATTTGTAAGACATTTGAAACTATTTCTCTTTTATATTCAAGATTTATCATCATTCATTGAATTGAATATTATGTGATTGTTTGCTTTAGATGCTCTGTGGACAGGAAGTATGTCCCCATCTACTTCGTTTTTGGCCCTCTAGGTCCTTCAAGGGCTTTCAGAACTGGAGGTTGAGTGTACTTGCACATAGGTGTGTTCACGTACCTACCTGTCTACCTATCCATCTACCTACCATGTCCTTTTCATGCAAATTTTTAGGTGTCAAGGATTTACCTTATAAAAATGAAGTATTTCAGACTTGCAGGGTAAAATTATTTCTACAATAATTTATTTCTACAATTTCCTTCAAATCTTCCCATTTTGAATCTAAGTGAGTCAAAAAGAGCTTAGTAGTCTTTGCAAGATCACAAAGCCAGTTCAAGGCACAGGCAGGAAAAGCCCAGCATGCCATCTGTGCTCCAGGCTTCCTTCAATTCCATCATGCTGTCTTGTTTTGTACAGTTCCTCTCATGTTAGTATGAAGATATATATAATTAAGAAAAAAGACCAGTATTTAAGTTAATTATTTTTTAAAGTCATGTTCTGTTATGCCACTGGCAAACCTTTTGGAAGCAAAAATCAAGGAATGAAGCACAATCAATTTATTTTTAATTAGCTTATTACTTCCTGCTTTTTTTCAGTTTGTTGAAAATAGGTTAGGAAAATTGAGATGATTCTACTACTACATTATTAAAGTTAATGTTTTAAATTAGCATTTGAAGCAATACTGATCACTTTGAAATAGAATAGAATATGGTAAATTAAAATTTATTTGTTAAAATGAATGCTCAAGAACACTTCATCCATGAATGTGTTCCTGGATTAATCAGGTTGCTAATTTGTTTCCTTCCTTACCACTTAGAATCTAGAAAAATTGCTTTGAATTTTCTCTCCAATAGTTTCAAATACAAACAGTTGCCTACTTCATTCTGGATAGTATATTCCTTTCCATAAGGACTTAATTTTGACATGCTTCTGTACCCCTCACGGTCTCCTCCCATTTTTTGGTAGAAACACAGAAGGTGCTTAATAAAAGTCTTGAAATAGACTAGTGATAAAAGAATGAATCCATATATACATTGTTCTTGTAATCACTACATTTGTTATTTAGTTCCTCTCCTGGACTGTGAGGTTATCGAGGGCAGAGACTGTGTCTTATTCGCTAGTGTATTCCTGTCATCTACTAGATATTCAGTACTGCTTGAAGAATGAATCAATGATTTCTTCTGACTTTTATTTAGGTATATGTCTAATGTCTTTACCTAGTCTGAGAGTTCTTTGAGAAAATAACTCATATTCTGTTGATCTCTGTAAGCTTCAAATAAGTTCTTATTATCCTATGAATAAAGTAGCACTTCAAAAGCACTAGTAAATAAGCCAAACATCACCTTGGATTGCTTTTTTAAGTCCAGGATTTTTTTCTATTTTTATAAGTATAAACTATGCTATTGAAATAAAATTCGGGTCAATATAAAGAAGTTTCTAATATTTTTATATTATTCATTTGATATCTAATTCCAATATCTAATATTTTGATAATGAGGTAAGTTGCCTTTTGAAGTCACTGATTTTCTAAGATCCAAAATCTAACAAATGTGCATATTACTGCCTAATAATTTCTCTAATGGATGCTCATACTTTCTAGAAATAATTACAGATAATGTATTTATAACTCTAAGACTCTGACTATAACACTATATAATTACATTTCTACTTTCATCCTTAAATATGTTTCATCATATTAGTAGTAATGTTACTCATTAAGTAAAATGAAAAATATATAAAGAAATAAAAAGTTGGCTAGAGTCTTACCACCCCCAAATGCCCTTAATTTTTGGTCAATTTATTTACTATTTTTTTTTCTTTTTTTTTTTTTTGAGACGAGTTTCGCTCTGTTGCCCAGGCTGGAGTGCAGTGGCATGATCTCAGCTCACTGCAAGCTCCGCCTCCCTGGTTCACGCCATTCTCCTGCCTCAGCCTCCCGAGTAGCTGGGACTACAGGCGCCTGCCACCACGCCCGGCTAATTTTTTGGTATTTTTAGTAGAGACGCGGTTTCACCGTGTTAGCCAGGATGGTCTTGATCTCCTGACCTCGTGATCCGCCCACCTCAGCCTCCCAAAGTGCTGGGATTACAGGCGTGAAACACCGTGCCCAGCCTGGTTTTTTTAAAACATACATTTCTGGTTTTCTTTTCCAAGTTATATATATTCAAATTGTAACAGTATTCTTATATCTCATATATTTTATTATTAGCTTAATTTCTGCTTGAGGAGAAAAATGCTTTCTAGTACTAAGTAAGTGAATGTAACTCCAAGTTGTCCCATACTTATTGATTATGTTCTCTTCCCACAGAAGGCTCACATATGTAATTGTTCTCACAGATGAAAATAATGTACATATGTGTATATGTGTGTAATTTTTATAAATATCTGTATCTATAATCCTTTGTCTCAAGTAGCTAATGAGACTCCACAACCTTTTCCAGAAAATTAATCCCAAAGATACTTATCATAAAGCATGCTATAAAGTGAATGTTTTGTCCCTACTGGTTTCTACTACAAAACTAAAGTTTTTAGGGCAAGTCACATAACCTCTAAGCATCAGTATCTTCATTTTTAAAAATAAAGGGCTCATATACATATTTACCTTATTGGGTTGTTTGGAGTATTAAAAGAATCCATGCCTGCAACATGCTTAGAAAATATCTAATTGATACAAAATACTTCATAATTATAATTATTCTTACTGGGAAAGTCTTATGATCAAAAACATTAATTCCAAATTTTGAGGCTTAAAATTTTTTCTTTTCCTAGACTCAGGGAAACAAAAAATGATAATAGTTTCTTTTTCATAATAATATTTTAGAAGTCACTTAAACATTCCTATCTTCCCTTGGTTCTATACATTCCTATCTTTCCACTTGACAAATGCAAAAAAATGTTAGGAAACATTACCTTTTAATACTAGCTCCCTGCTATACTTTTTTCCAATTATTAAAAAGATTTTTTTGACAGAGTCTGGCTTTGGTGTAACAGAAGTTGCTAGGCTACTAGGGGCTTGCAGGCTATTTCAGAAGTGACCTGGTTGGATTTCTCAGTACTATGTTCAAACTAACAGCATGAAATACTTATCCCATCAATGGCAGAGAATTGTTGAGGTTAAGGAAGAGAGCAAAATATGAAGCAGAGCAGGTCATGGTGTGTATGTTGAACACAGCAAAGGGGCCTTGAACTCAATTCAAACCTACTTTGTCAGAGGACAATGTATTCTTTCTGGCTAACAGTACTGCAGTTCATATATTTACTGAGATCAAGGATGGAGAGTTAGTCTAGAGATTTAAGTCAGTCAATTTGTCAATTTAAAAGTTTAACAGTCAGTTAGAAACCAGATTGACAATAGTCAGTCAGGATTAATTCTTAAATTGTGATTTCCTTGAATATAAAATATTTCAATAATGGCTTCAAATATTTTTCTTCAGTTAATGTTCTTTATGCAGTTTAGAGATTTGTTTTGTATTAAGTTAATTTAAAAGTGACTGATTTTGGAAAAAAAATCTCTTTTGTGGGGAGGAGGCATGGGAATCATTGTTTAATTCTAGTGGAACACGTGAGCACTATTAACCTTTGCTATTAACCTTTTTGCTTTCACTATCACTTGTAGACATTTAATTTTTATAAAGTCATGAGATGCAAAATAGTAAACAGACATGGACAGATGAGATGTGATTGGAATCAATGGATATTGCAAGACTTCTCAATAAACTGTTTTGATAGGAAGTCAACATAAAGATTAGAAACCACTATTTCAAAGTGATTCATGGGCAGTAAGATATAGAAAGGGGCTTTAGAGTCCATCTTTGTGAACTGGATCGTTTTTGTTTGTATGTTTGTTTAAGTGAGGAAACTTGGACCCTAAGTGATAAAGTGATTTTCTCCAAGATGACACTGTTAAACAGTAACACAGCATGGATGAGATACCATTTCCTTTGTCATCTAGTCTTTTATCTTACCAATACATCACACTGTTACTTGTCCTTTGGAGATAAATGGCCAATATTCTCTCTAGAATAGTATAGCAAAGAAGGGGGGAAAAGGCAGAGAATTACCAATACTGACTCAAACAGTATAGCAAAGAAGGGGGAAAAAGGCAGAGAATAACCAATACTGATTCAGAGATATGGTAAAGGAAAAAATATAGATTGCAATTTATATGTATATTATGATTCATATAGAATTGTATATGGGTTACTTATTTAAGTGTGGTCATAAAGAATGTTAATAAGACTTTTGAGATAAGCTAGAGAATATGAAATAATGTAAAGTGATAATATATGAAATTTTATTCCATTAAGGCAGGTCATAACATTTAAACAGCAAATTGTTGCAAGAAGAAATAAATGACATCCTGTGTTTATTCAATAGACAGATAGTCCAATATGTTAATTCATACTTTTAACTACAAAAATTTTAGAAGCTTATTCAACAACATAGTTACTTATGACTTCAACATTTTCTTTTAAAGGAGAGTCTATGTTTGACAGCATGAGATTGTGACCAATTAAAAATAAAATTCTAGCTTTGGGTCACTCCACTCCATGAATACATGGCATTAAGTTAGTTATAACATAATATAAAGTGAACCAAATTGTTCCAAAGAACATAAAACTATAAAGTAAAATAGTTTTTTTGGGAAAAGTCTATTTTTTTCTTCATACCTGATCTCTTTCTCTCAAATTTGGATTTGTATTATGAAATGTATTTTTCTTTATAAGGTATGTTTATATATGAAAAGTAGCTTTAAAGTTTTTAGTAGAACTTCAGATTCACTCAATAACATATCTTCTTTTTTCTCTCATTTTTCTAATAGGTGTCTTGGCAAATGGAAGAATTTCAGGGAATTGCATATATATGTAGTATATTTATGTTTATGAAATATGTACATATCATTATACTAAAATAAACATAAAATATATTTATACAAATGTATATATGACATATAACTTTTAATATGTAATACATATTATATGTTATTCACTGAAAAGCATAAATGTATATTTAAATGGTGTATCTAAATATTGTCTATATTTCTATAATGCAAGTTGTCCCAAAAAGCTTAGTACAGTTTTAAGCTTTAATTACTTCCGTACTATAATTGCTACAAACTTATAAAAATAATTCTTGAAATTTAATTGCTTAAATTTTTTGTACTAGTTTTGTGATTTTTGAGTGATAATTTTTAAATTTCAGTTTGCTTTAGGACCTCTGAGTAAATGACAAATTACGAGTTAGCAGCCATTTTAGCAAATAACTGACTGGTTCTAGAAACAGCACAATCAACATAAATTTTGCCCACTTCAAAATGCTGTCTAGGGATAGCCCTGCATATAAGCTTCTAAGACAAAACAGTAGTCCAAATCTATTATAAAAGATGAATATAAACAACAGAAGCACTTTACTCAATGGAGGCCCATTTCATCAGGGCAGAATTCTGTGCTCCATTATGTAGGCTTGATTTAGTGGGAAAGCAAACATTATCTTCAGAGTTAAAATGATTAAAGCCATAGCATCTTTAGAAGACACAGACCTGTTCAGTTTTAATAACAGGGAAGAACACTTTTGTTATTTTTTGCCTCAAAAAATTTAATTGGTAAGTATATTCAAGAAGCATTGTAACCTAATGGTTTATCTGAGGTTTCAGAATATAAGATATCATTATCTACAGCTCTGAAATATTTGTATTTTTTCCTCAGAGTCTAAAACTGCTCAGAAAATGTTCTGATACCTTTGATTAGTCCAAAAGGTAAGTGCATGTTTAAATAAATTTCGTACACTTCTAACAAAGATTGATGCTGCCTGAACACTTTCAGGCCCATTGCTTACTACACTCATTTATGCATTACCAGTGCCTAGAACAATGTCTGTTCAAAGTACATGCTCAATAAGTATTTGGAATATTTCTGAGAAATTTAAAATTTTTTTATTATACTTTAAATTCTAGGGTACATGTGCACAACGTGCAGGTTTGTTACATATGTATACATGTGCCGTGATGGTGCGCTGCACCCATTAACTCGTCATTTACATTAGGTATATCCCCTAATGCTATCCCTCCCCTCTTCCCCCAGCCCACAACAGGCCCCGGTGTGTGATGTTCCCCATCCTGTGTCCAAGTGTTCTCATTGTTCAATTCCCACCTATGAGTGAGAACATGCCGTGTTTGGTTTTTTGTCCTTGCGATAGTTTGCCGAGAATGATGGTTTCTAAAAATTTTATGGTATAATATAAATAAGCCCTAAGGCATCATTCTCTAATTTATCAAAATAGATTTTATTCAAAAATGTAATATAATCTTAAAGGACTTTGATAGATAATTGGCAATATATGTTATTCATCATGTAGCCTTTAAAGAATAAGTTAAACACTAAAGAAAGGTCATACTATAATTTCCTAAAGTTGAAGTTCCATAATACTAATATTCTATTTGACCACAAGATACTTGGCCTGATTAAGGCTTCTGATGTACCCCCATTCAAGTTGCTAATTTAGCCTGATACTGATAGTATTTAACCAACTTTATCGAAAATTTTGTGAGAAAAGAATTTGGCTTTATTTCTGTAAGAAATCTTGGTCTTCAATTTATTTTGTAGTAATGGTGTGCTCTATAGCTGTAGGCATATGATTACACGAAAATGAGTTTATATGAATGCATATTGCATGCATTCGTGCATGGATGAATGAATGACATCTGGACATATGATAAATATATAATAAAGATGTTGATATAGTTTGTATATTTGTCTCCACCCAAATCTTATGTTGAACTGTAATCCCCAGTGCTGAAGGTGGGGCCTAGTGGGAGGTGATTGGACCATGGGTGTAGATTTCTCTGGCTTAGCACTATCCTTTCGGTGCTGTTCTAGTGATAGTGATGAGTTCTTGTGAGATCCAGTTGTTTAAAAGTGTGTGGCACCTCCCCACTCTCTCCTTGTTCCTGCTCCCACCGTGTAAGATACCTGCACCCCCTTTGCCTTCTGCCATGCTTGGAAACTTCCTGAGGCTTCCCCAGAAGCAGGAGCCACCATGCTTCTTGTGCAGTCTGCAGAACCATGAGTTAATTAAACCTCTTTTCTTTATGAATTACTCAGTCTCAGTTATTTCTTTACAGCAATGTAAGAATAGACTAATACATATATATTTCATTTAATTGCAAAGCAAATCAACAATTTGAAGAACCACAAGAACTACATATTTATTTTTATTATTTTTCATTTATTTTTAAATCAGGTAGCCTATAGACGTCAGATAGCTTTTCATTTGTCTTTATTTCTTCTAATTTCATATTTGGATATCTTGTATCTGAGACATACAACTTTGATTAAAATATTGGGTCAAGGCACAGTTTAAAAGAACACCAGATACTAGTATTTACTCAATGAAGAAATAAATAAAGGAAAAGATGATGAAGGTTTGGATGAAGTCAGTGATTACCACTCTAAAATACTTAGAATAGTCACTGGAAAATCAAACGAATGTTAATATATGTGAAGGCAAAATTTAAGTCTGTGTTTAGAGTAACAATCTAATTTACATCCTCCCTGTAATAGCAAAAGCCTTACAAATATCACTATTTCTACATTTCTATATGTAAAACACAGCTCTTTTTTTCATTGCTCTTTATTGTACTCCAGTTTCATAGCATGATCTCTCAGGTAAATTGGTTAACCAAATTGAACAAAGATATACTAAAAGGTATTTTGACTATTATTTTTAAAAATCAAGTTCTAAAAAGAGCTCCTTCCAATTATTACTGTTCTCACTTACTTATGGGGCAGGTCAACATAATTGACCCTTATTGTGGCAATGAGAAAATAGTGTTTGAGAAGTTAAGTGATCATCACAGAAAGTCAGTGTCAGAAGTTGTGATTTTTTTGATTTATAAATCACAATTTATTTGATTTATAAATCAAAATATTCAGACTGCCTAGTCCTTTCCCAACTACCATTAATAGATTATATGGGTACTGAGCAGGCGGACCAGTTTTTGTTTGTTTTGTTTTGTTTTACGTGCTACAAGCTATATTGATTATGTGACTATTTCCACCTTTTAATCTAACTTTAATGCCGCATCACTCAATCATAACACTCAATTTTTTTGATTAATATATTAGACAGGAGGTCTATAATTTCCTTTACATAAAAATAATCTCAAATCATCCACAAGTGGTACATTTTAAAATTCATTAGAGATCTTTGACATGCTCTTCTATTAGCAAGGTTTCAGAGAGCACAGATGGCAATTAGTCACACAGATGCTGGTGGTTAACTCCTTTGACTGAGGAGAGCAGCATTATCCATGAAAAGAACTTTCAAGTCTCTGGAAACAAAGAGTAATATTAAATGCCATTCAAAGCATTTCCTGTCAATACTCCAGCCTTATTACATCCTTATATAAATTCTTTGCTTATTTTTAAACTTTCAAAATGGCTGGTTGTTGGAAAATCCAATCCTAGCAGGATGGAGGGTCCTTTAAGCTACTAGTTCTCCAAGTGTGGTCCCTGGACCAGCAGCACAGACATCACTGGAGAGCTTGTCAGAAATGCAAATTCTCTGGCATCACTCCAGACCTACTGAACCAGAAACTTTGGTAGTGAGGCCTAGCAATCAGAATTTTGATAAGCCTTCCAGATGATTCCCATGTAAACAAAAATTTGAGAATCTTTGCTATAAGTTATTTGGAGGTGCCTGGGGAAAAGGCTCTCCACAGAGATTACAATGGAATGTACAAGTTAAATTATTATTATAGTTTTATTATATTTAAATTATAAAATATTATTTGACCATAAACAGGACGTTAAATTCTTTTTGAAATGTCTGTATTTTGAATTCATTAGAATTAATGTAATTTAATTACGAATTTCTCAACATAACGCTATATGGATGCTAAATGTGCCTTCACTCGGTGGAGAAGAATTTGCTTTAGGCAATGGGGGAATGGAAATTATTGAGTCGGAACCTGGGCTGAGTTGTTACTAAAGTCTTTGCATACCAGCAGGGATTTGAGATACTAAATTACTACCTTTGGTTTCTCATATGTCCATCCTCCATGCCCTGTGACTTCAGAAATGTATCCTTCCATCACACATTAACTTTACATATTACAAAACAGAGCAGAAAATCACATGCCATATTGGAAGATGGAGAAATCAGCAAATTGTCAATCTAGAGAGCTAACATGGAATATATTTCTTTTGCTTGAATTTATTTTTATATACTCCTCAAAGCAATTTCACAATTCCATGGGAATATGGATATATGTGATCTTACAATTATATTTACATTCTCTAACCCCTGATTTCTTTAATTGTGTTCATCCTTATACTAGTTTCCATGTCAACAATGCCAACTGTGAACGCTACTTGTAATGGAAGCTTAAAAACAAACAAAAAGAAAAGTCCCCTAGCTTAGGATACTTGAAATAACCCAAAGATTGGGTTAACTAAATCTTAATCAAAATTCAATGTGCAGCAACTAAAATTTTAATATGATGAAGTCATCATCAATGAATTATCATAAAGGTTTTTTTAAAATTCATTGATCTGAAAAATACTTAGTACATATACCAGATAAATAAATTAACAATGATCATGAATGTGATTAACATATACTCAAAGTTAAAATGTAATTCTTTCTGATATTTTAAAAAACAACTATAATGCAAGATGAATATGTGTTTTGCTAGTATGAACACTATCAAATACCCTAAAGTACTATCTATTGATAGCCATAAAGAAATAATTGTCCTAAATATATGACATGAATAAAACAAAGTAGTGGTAAAATAAATCAGTTTTCACTGTTTCAAAAGTTCCCTCTTTTTCAATTTTGGGAGAGAGACTGCTAAAGATGATGAAGTCTGTCTAAAGGCAAGTGCAACCTCTATAATAAAAATCTATCTTCAGTATATCTGGTGTTGAAAGGTTTAGCTCCAAGAGTGTAACAGTGCTGAAGACAGGAAGGGAACTCTTGCTAGTTATTCAGTCTTTTCTACTGTCTTCTGTCACTACTTTATAAGTCCTCCTGATATTTGTGCTGATGTTTGCTGCTCCTCTTTTTGCCTTAGGCAGAGTAGAGTAAAGTTCAGGAGGTTAGGTTAAAAAAAGACCCCAACCAGCAGGGAATGTAGTTTATTGACAGGGTTCTTTACAGATGGATAATAAGAGTAATGAGAAAGCTACATAATTGCTCTTCATGGTGTGCCAAAAGCTCAGTCAATGGCTGATATACATGAAACAAAATTATTAAAGCACTTTATATCAGACACTGGAATGGTTCCCTAAATTAGAAGAGACTTACTAACAGCCCACCTGGTTAGGTTTCGGAAGAGTGGACAGATTGTGGCCTATGGAAGCAATTCTTTACAATACAAATGGCAGGGGTGATCCTTTGCCAAAAGACCCAAGAGGACTTCTGCAGGAATTCAATACAAATCTACCTCATATAATAGCCTTGATTCCTCATGTCCAAAGCAAAAAAAAAAAAAAAAAAAAAAAAATACTTACTCAACCCTAACTACTTTTCTTTCATGAGCTTTCACAAAATGAGGGTGATAATAGTACTTGCCTTCCAGGATTGTGACAAGTATAAAGTGGGAAAATACCTAGAAACACATTTGAGGGATTAAAGATGGTAATTCTCTAAAAATAACCTGAAGACTAACATTTTAGAGGATAAAGGTGATGCCAATTTTCTCATTTTTATCCTTGTTATTCAATGAAATTGGTAATCTAAATTGAAAAATACTCTAATAACATAGTTTTGTTCAACTTCATTTTATTATTACATTTGAAATATGTAATAATGGTTTCGTTATACATCATTTTGCTTAAAGTCACAGTTACCAAGAACATGTCGACAATATTAGGCGAGGACTAACTGTACTCCCTTTTTCATGGGACTCAATTAATGTGGTTTTTATTTTGAATAAGCCAAAAGCATGTCTGATAGACACTTTCATTTTTTCTGTATTGGCTAAAATGCCCCAAAAATGGCTTGGCGCCAATCATCCAGTATGATTTTATTTTTGCAAAAAGTTCTAGAACTCTTTCCTCCAGAAGCCTGACACTTTTTACAAATTACGCTTCATACTTTCAATGTAATTATCAGCCTTTGACCTCTGTTGAAGTGCAAAGACCAATAGGAGGGATGAAGCACTAAACTGCTATTGGTTTCTGTGTTAATGAAGCATTGAGATAAGGTTCCAATGGGAGAGGAGGTTGAAGGAAAGACTTTTTAAAAAAAATGTGGCATTGTTAGATGCTTAGACAGGTACTGGAAGGTTTAGGTGGGGAAGCACTCTGAAAGGCTGGATTTACTCTGATTCAAAGGAAGTATACAGATGGGGTTCTTAGCTCATGAAAGTTAGTAGGTAAGTAGATCTAAAACCTAAAAAGTGTCAATGTTTTAGAAGCTTTTTTTTCTCCTTTCCCAGTAAATTAAAAAAGTACTCAGTTTTCTTCTGCTATAAATGTTATTTCTTTGGGAAGTAAATCTGGAGGTCACTGCTCATGGGTTTGTTAGCAGCCTGCTTTTACCTTCATAATGTTTAGCAGTTGTATAGAAACTCTTATTGCTCTAGAGACCATCTCTTTATCCCACATTTTATAGTAGAAAACAGACCACCATTGGTTAATAAAGGATCAATGCCTTTATCTAACAGAAGTATAATTTTGAAAATACCACTATAAAAAGAATGATCTAAAGTAGAAACATGACTATAAAGGTTTTGTCAATGTCATAAAGTTCTGTATCCAAATAGCTAAATATAAAGCTAAGAAACATGATTTACTATCCGTGTATCAAGTGTTTGACAACGATTACATAACAGTCTAATATTTACAATAGCCCTAAGAAGTATGTATTGTACTTATACATATAATACAAGATATGTATTATTATCTCCAGTTTAAAAAGTAGAAAGTAAAGCTGAGTATGATTAAGGAGCAAGTCCAAAATCACACAGAAAGTAAATGGATGAGCTGAGATTTGTAAAGTAGGAGAGCCTGCTCCAGAGCTCATTCATTTCCCTGTACACAATGCTGCCTCTTAAGATATAGTCTCTCTGGTCACGAGTGCATAGAATTGCTCAAGATGGTAAGCCTGACTCCTTCAAAAATAATTGTCATGCTTTTGAATAAAGATATAAATGTAAGTAGACATTATCTCAACTATGTCAGTACCCTTTCCAACAAAATTCCACTTTTACTAATTACAATATCAAAAGAGGCCATTCTTAGGAAGCGTTTTTATTTCTAATAGTGATAATGAGGGAGTATTAAACTCATACCTAACAGTGATTATAGAACTGAAGACAACAAATATTCTTCTGAAACTGGAGTTTCATTACATTTTTCTCTTCCTCCTTCATTTTCCAGTCAAATCATTGCAGCACAAGGCTTTACTGAAGAAACACACAGCTGTTACAAGAAATATTTATTCTAATCCTAGTCCAGAGAGCTAGTGTTTAGAAATATATAGATAATCCCATACGGAATTATTCAAATACAAAAGACAACATTTATTGAGTTATACTAGGTGTTTTATGTAGTGTTCAATCTATATAGAATCCAGTAGAGAGACTGACTCTTACCTTCATCTTACAGATGAGAAAACTAAGGTTTAGAGAATTAAAAACTTGCCCAAGATAATTAAATTAGTCAGTAATTAAGCTGTGATGCTAATCTTCCCAGCTCAGTAAACTCTATTTCCTCTCAACATTATTTACAAATTGTTTCATGGCTATTAATAATCTTTCCATAATTCTTCACTTGAATACTCAGAAAAATGAAAGTAAAACTCACTATTATTGAATCTTGCTGACCTACGATTTTTCGTTTTATACTTATGCTCTAGTTCTCCAAGTACAATCAGCATTTCCTATAATAATAAGACATAGTTTATATGAGACATAGGTAATTACACAACTGAAATCTATGGGATAATATATTCTAAACAAGCTGAAGGGCAAATATTATTCTTCCCACTAAAATAATTACACCTAGCTGGGTATTTCTCCATGTAAGCTTAAATTTCTTAAGTACATGGGCCTGTCTTGCTTCACTTTTTATTCTTTAGCACTTAAGCACACCTTTCACGAGTAAGTATGAGGATGACATAACATTATGTATGCTAAAGTCTTATGAACTGAAAATGGACACACAGATAATGATTGTTATGACACTATTACTTCTATGAATAAACTCACAGTTTTTGAATGCGTGAGTGAATAATGTTTTCATAGAGACCATAGGGCATCTCTCCTTGGTCCACTAGTTTTCACTTGAGAGATAAAGAAAATTACAACAGAATGTCAAAATTGAAATAATTTCATATTTAAAACCAGAAATAAATAACCTCAACTTATTTACCAAGGGCTGTGTATGCTCTTTATGGACTTGTCCTTGGCCTAAGAGATGGTGATGACTTCTGTGACCACATTATGAAGTTAGATGCTGACTAAGCCATATTGTGGGACCTTTGGAATTACCAAACAAAACTGAACTCTCTCAGCTAATGCTATAATATGTAAAGTTCTCTGGTTAAAACAGAATTTTCAATTTAAAAATATATTTGAAATAGTGTTTTGCATCCACTCAAATCTCAGCCTTCTTAACCTGTATCACATTGAATAACTTTATGTATTTATTTAATGTTATTATCTGTATGTATGTCTATACTAGTGTAGATAATGCATTCAGGTTAATAGTTTGCTACTGTCTTGGAGGAAAAGGAGTAACTTAACTGGTGAAGCTGTCCAGTTCTTTCCTGCTTCCAGTCATTGATTTTAAGTTGTGTGTGCAGCAAGTGTAAGAGCATTTTTAAAGTGGGAAATAAATCCTGATAGCTGTTTTCTATGCTAAATGCCTCTTGCCCCTAGACAGACACACACTATTTCATGGAAGTGAATGGCATACTTTGTCACTAGGCCTAGCCATTAATTGTGTTTGTGCTCTAATGATCCGCTTAGAGAAATCTGTCTCATAGTGCCATTCACTTCTGTTTAAGAAATGTTAACGTGTCCTATTGACTAATTTTGGAAAGAAAAACCAGAGACTTTGCAGAAAACTCTGAATTATTTTGATTTTATATAAAGAGTAAAACCTCTAAGAATTATAGAGAATAGTGGACTGCATCATCTTTTTCTTTTCCCCCAAGAGGAAACCTTTTTATTTTATTTTTAATTTTATCATTATTATACTTTAAGTTTAGGGTACATGTGCACAACGTGCAAGTTTGTTACATATGTATACATGTGCCATGTTGGTGTGCTGCACCCATTAACTCATCATTTAGCATTAGGTATATCTCCTAATGCTATCCCTACCTTTTTGTTTCTTTCATATGTTCAGTAACTTCTGAATTTTTTTGTATTTTCTCATGAAGTTTATTTTTTCTCATGTTGGCTTTTTTTCTTTTGGGTCATTCTTGACATAAGAAATTAGTGGTGGAACTTAAGTATGAATTGTGCATTAAATAATGGTATTATATCACTGTTAAATTTCCTGATTTTGAGAACTCAGCTGTAGTTACGTAAAAGAATATGCTTGTTCTTAGAAAATACACACAAAATATTTTAGGGTAAAGTAGCACAATGTTTCCAACTTAGCATTAAGTGATTTAGAAAAAACATAAATATCAAAAATTATAAAGAACATGGATTGGTAAATCTGGATAAAGAACATACAGGATTTTTTGTTACTATTCTTGCGACTTTTTTGTGAGCTTGAAATTCTATGAAAACAAAAAGAAAAAAAAACCAATGTAAAGAAAAAGTTGTGAGACAATTTTCCTCATTTTAAATAAGCATTCATATAACATTTATTAAATTGTTTAGTGAAGTAATAAAGTCTTTTTCTCTTATACAATGTTCCAAGTTTTAGGTTATAGTGAAATTCCCTCATTGCCACCATCTTCTAATGTGAATTTAGTACTTCAGATGAGAAGAATATAGTTCAATATTTTGGGTAATGAAGGTATCATTTGCTAGGTTAC
This sequence comes from Homo sapiens, assembly GCF_000001405.40. Taxonomy (NCBI): domain Eukaryota; kingdom Metazoa; phylum Chordata; class Mammalia; order Primates; family Hominidae; genus Homo; species Homo sapiens. Next base: position 93,537,360 of record NC_000007.14, read on the forward strand.
CCCATGGAACTGCAGTATATCAGAACAAATTAAGACAAATATTGGTGGCTGAAATGGGAACTGAACTGATGTCTCCCGATGTTATTTTTCTTTCACTACGTTGCATTAGATGTTTTTATTAGTTTAGTTCTATAGTATACATTTTCAACTCTTCAATATACAGTTTTTTATGGTTATTATTAGTTTAAATTTAGCCCTTAGTAATTAGCTTCTTATTTAATCAGTTTTTGCAATTGTATTTCAAAAATTAACAAAAATAATTTTTATGTCAATTACTTAACTAGCTTGTTACAGTGCTTTCCATGAAACACATTTTACAAACTTCCTATCCTTGTTTTGATTATACATGTGTATACACACACACACACACATACATACATACATACATATATATATAAACAATCTGGATGAAAAGTCAACATTTTAATTTCCTATAAAAAGTTAAACTACATATTTGATATGTTTGTATTTTCCTGACCAAATCAATGAAATTGACTAGTTTATATGGGGTCGTTTTAGTCAGGTCCCAAGACAATGTATTTTATGGTATCCCATTCATAAATGCAAACTTAGTTTATTTAAAATGGGTATTATTAAATAAAACATTTATCATATTTTTCCAGTAGAAAATTAGCCAAATAATGTGTTCAACATGTGCCTTTTAAAAGAAATCACTAAACTGTAGTAGTGATCATCTTGCTAAAATAATGGAAAATTAATGAAGAACATAGAACATATAACAAGAGACTAACTTAAATTGTTAATAAAGCTACACACTCAAAATACCTTAAATATCATAAAGTCTCTATCTTTATTGGGACCTTTGTGGTTATTACAATAACAAAAATAGCCAAGAATGCATAGTATGTGTTCTGCTGAAAAAGCAGATAGGCCTGGATAACATATCTTTTCGTGTGTCTGACTTCCTGGATAGATGATTATCTAGTTTATTCCTACCCTCTGGGGTATTCCTAGCATTTTTAGTGTGAAGAAGTATTTATTTCCTGTCTCAATTTCTTCTGCTATAGTTTTATGATAGTTATTCTTCTTCCACCTTCAGTGGAGATGGTAAATACTTATTTTTAGTTTTTGGAATTATCATCTTTTTAATATCACTGCATGCTCAGATCTTCCCTCAGGTTGGGGCTTCTATCCTGGGCTAGGTAATTTTTATTCCCTTAATACTGAAATCATTCTGTTTCTCAATCTTTAAAATACCTTGGCCTTCTTTCCTATATTCTGGTGATACTTAACCTGTTTTTTGTTTTTGTTTTTGTTTTTGTTTTGGATTGCAGACCCCTTTTGTGCATCTGATGAAAGTCACTGACCTTTCTCTAGACAGATAGGTGTACATGCTCAAGACTTCATGAACCTTTTCATGTGTGCTATACCTCCTAGAGCTTATACATGCACCCTCTGGAATAAAGGTTGTCAAAATAAAATAATCTGCTCAGATGATTATTTAAACAGTGGATTCCTGAGACCAATCCCCTGAGATATGAGTTGAATACAACTGAGGAGGATCTAGAATCTGTATTTTAACAAACTCTAGGTGACACTGATATATGGGGATGGTATTATATTCTGAAACAGAATCCTCTAGAGTTTAAGAGTCTCAGATGAAGAAATTCCACTCTATTCTTCTTCCAGATTTTGTATTTTTCATCTCTTAGAAGAATCTAAACTCATAGATCTTATATGCTTTATTCGGTATATGACATTATAATATGTTGATATGTTACAATAGCTCCCCAGGAAGTTTTATTCTCACTCTCCTTCTTTTTATATATAAAGTCCATTAAAATCCCTGGGGTAAGGATTTATGAAATCCCAATCACTTAAATCAAAGGCCCATCTCTCCTCTGAGGCTTCTTGTGAATTTTGTAGCATATGATGATCTACATTTATTGACTATATCACTTGTTTGGCAAATATATCATGTTTTATGTGTTCAAAATCTTGGTTGCCATTTAGAGTAGGTGTATGATGATTATCTCATTTCTGCCATTTCAATCAGGGGCTTTTAGGATCTAGTATTATATATCTGTTTAGTTACCAGTTGCTCAGCCCAGTGTTCTAGTAATACTGAGAAACGTAAATCATTGTTGGTTGATGAATGCATGGCTCTACAAGGAAGTGTTCCTCTGAAATCAGTGACTCTCCTTATGAGTCTCTGACAATGTATTCTTTGGTCAATTACACCCAAAGAGTCGTTTCTAGATGGTATAGGTCCCTGGAATCAGGCATGTATGACCTAGGGTTATATCCCAGCTCTGATATTTATTGTGTGTTCTTGTGCAAGTTACCTAACGCCTCTGAAAGGCTTGGTTTTTCCATATGTAAAAGGTGGTTGCTGAATGGGGAAAGGCAGAGCATTCTATGGCAAAGGCTGTGATGGAAAGAGCATGGTGTGCCCCAAGAAGTTAAAGACGCTTCCCTCTGATGCAATTCTAGAGAGTAAGAAGAAAGAAGCAGTTCACGCCTTTGTATGACCTGAACTGGAGAACCCACATCAAAGTAGGGATTTGTGGGGCCCCCGTCCACTGTTGAAGATACTCCAGGTCTGCAGTGAAATGAAGCAGAGGAGCATACAGCAGCAGAGATGAGAATAAGAAAGTACTTCCTGGTTTCCCACTAGGCTTTTAATGCCTAGTCCCATTCCCTTGGGGGAATTGTGGGGAGAAGAAAGAGAGTAGCTGCTTTCAGATTCTGTTCGCTGCCCTAGGATTCTTCCAACAGAACACTTGTTGCCCCGATGACTGCGAATTAATTTTTATGTGCAATCAAAAACTCCGATTAATTCAGCAGGACTTGAAAAGCAGGTAATTCAATATTGGACCTGGTGAGTTTTCAGTGCCTGTGAAACAGTTGCATGTGTATATTAAGTAGGAAGACAGCAGTCAATGGGTAGGATACTACTCTTTCCGTATGTATGGCAGGTAAATACATTGGCCCATTTGAATACAGTCACTCTGTTTTTGGTAAAATTGTAGCTGAAACTATTTTGTGCTGATGCTCAACATTTTAAATATATGGTACCATGTAATAAAATTTTGTTTGAATTGAGATCCAATAAAATGTTTACATTTATTTATACAATTTCCAACTATTTTGATCTTTATGTAACTCCCTGTGTTTCTTTATTTGCATTTACTTACAGCAAAATTGGAGACAAAATTAGTGCCCAATGGCAATCAGTATATTTTAAATGGCTAATAAACTCTATCTTTTCTTATTCCTTTTAAATAATTTGTATTTGTTTTATCTCTAACTGTCCTAATTTTAAAATATGCTCAAACTTTATGACAGCTCTAAGTTATACATCTTTATTATATTTTATATATTATATTTTATATATATTATATATTTATATTATATAATATTATATTTATATTATATAATATTATATTTATATATTATATTTTATATGTATAAAAAGTTATACATCTTTATTATATTTAAGTGGTAGAAACAGAGAATGGGAGCATATAAACATTAACATTTCTCTGTAAATCAACTTAATTCAGCATCTCTCTTTGCCCACTCATAATCAATCAGGATTCAGTAGAAAATAGTTCAATATTAATAGCAAAAAATTAAATTTCATTAAGAAAAATGACAAATGAGTGATTTGGCATGAGAACTCACTATAGCCTTACAAAGACTGAAAAAATACTGATATGTTTTGGTTTATAATTTGTAAAATATGATTGCCACGCAAATGCACTCCACTGGGCTGAACAAGACATACAAATTGGATTATAAATCCCAAAGCATCAAAGTCAAATTATGACTTTGTAAATGAAACACTAAACTTATTATTATTATTGTTTGAGATGGAGTCTCACTGTGTCGCCAGGCTGGAGTGCAGTGGCACGATTTCGGCTCACTGCAACCTCTGCCTCCCAAGTTCAAGCGATTCTCCCACCTCAACCTCCCGAGTAGCTGGGATTACAGGCACCCACCATCACTCCCGGCTATTTTTTTGTATTTTCATTAGAGATGCGGTTTCACTATGTTGTCTCTATCTCTTGACCTGGTGATCCGCCTGCCTCGGCCTCCCAAAGTGCTGGGATTACAGGAGTGACCACCGCACCCGGCCTTTATCTTTATGGTAAAAGAGCAACATAATTGAAGTTAAGTGCTAGAAACTGGGAGAAGATACATTCACTTCTATATTTGCATTAAATTCCTATTGACTTCAGAAAAATATACTGAATACTTTTATTATTAAAAAAATCAGCTGCTGAGGTGTTTTATGTTCTCTTGGTATATGATTCTATGGGCTAGAGGACACCACAAGATTGTGACTTATGTGCTAACGTACAAAGAAAGTTTTGCTGAGTGCAATTCAAGTTCCATCCTATCCATTTGTCCATGTGCAAATTTCAAGAGCTATGTGGCTGGAACTATTCACCCTTCTTAAAGAGTTTGGTCTGTGGCTATCCACGGTAAACTGGATCTCCAGACTTCTAAATAATCCCTACAGTCTGCTATAGGGCATTAGACAAATCTGTGATGTTTTTACTTTCTGAGAAACTAATTGCTAAGCATTATGTTAAAATTCATATTAGTAGCTGGTTTTTTTTGGATATAAACACAGTATGGCTGATTACATAAAATTTGGAAAATTAGAAAAAAATACATAGAGAAAAAGTCACCAAAAACTAATAAATAAGTGACAATCTTTGCTGCCATTTTGATATATTTACCTCTCAGTCTGTTTTTCTATGAATACAAATATATACAGTGATATGTTGCTTAACAACAAAGATAAGTTCTGAGAAACGCATCCTTGGGCGATTTTGTCATTGTGCAAATATCACACAGTGTACTTACACAAACCTAGGTGATATAGCTTACTACACACCTTGGTTGGATGGGATACCCTATTGCTCCTAGGCTACAAACCTATACAGCATGTTACTGTAATGGGTACTGTAGACAACTGTAACATGATGGCAAGTGTTTGTGTATCTAAACATATCACAGCATAGAAAAGATACAGTAGAAATATAGTTTAAAAGATTTTTAAAATGGTATACCTGTGTAGGGCACTTATAAATGGAGCTTACAGGACTGGAAGTTGCTCTGGGTGAGTCAATGAGTGAGTGGTGAGTGAATGTGAAGGCCTAGGACATTACTGTACACTATGTAGACTTTATAAACACTGTACACTTAGCCTACACAAAACTTATGAAAAAAATTTTTCTTTCTCCAATAATTTATATTTAGCTTACTGTAACTTTTAAAATTTATGAGCTTTTAAATCTTTTGAACTTTTTGGCTCTTTTTTAACAAAACAGCTTAAAACACAAATTGTACATTTGTACAAAAATATTTTATTTCTTTTATAAGATTTTTTAAATTAATTTTTTTCTTTTTAAACTTTTTTGTTAAAAACTAAGACACAAACCCACACATTAGCCTAAGCCCACAGGGTCAGGATCATCAATACACTGTTTTCTACCTTCATATCTTATTCCACTGGAAAGTCGTCAGGGGCAATAAAACACATGGAGTTGTCATCTCCAATGATAACAATGTTGTCTCTGGAATACTTCCTGAAGGACCTGCCTGAGATGGTTTTGCAGTTCACTGATTTTTTTTTTTTAAGTAAGTAGAAGGAGTACATTCTAAAATAATAATAAAAGGTATAGTATAGTAATACATAAACCAGTAACATATTCATTTATTGTTACATATTATGTAATGCACATAATTGTATATGCCACATTTTTTGTTTGGTTTTTGTTTTTTGTTTTGAGATAGGGTCTTGCTCTGGGGCTATAGTTATAGTTGTATATAGGACTATAGTTATACATACCAGGCTGGTGTGCAGTCGCACGATCTCTGTTCAGTGCAACCTCCACCTCTCAGGTTCAAGTGATTCTCATGCCTCAGCCTCCAGAGCAGCTGAGATTACAGGTGCCCACCATGGCAACTGGCTAATTTTTGTACTTTTAGTAGAGACCGGGTTTCACCGTGCTGGTCAGGCTGGTCTCGAACTCCTGATCTTAAGTGATCTGCCCACCTCAGCCTCCCAAAGTGCTGGGATTACAGGCATGAGTCACCGTGCGTGGCCTGTATATGTTACACTTTTATACAACTGGCAGTGCAGTAGGTTCATTTACACCAGCATCACCACAAGCATGGAAAGTAAGGCTACGATGTGAGCATGGCAATGGCGTCACTAGATGATAAGAATTCTTCAGCTCCATTATAATCTTATGGGACCACTGTTGTATATGCAGTCCATATTTGACTTAAATGTCATTGTATGGCCCATGATTATATATATATATACACACACACACACACCTAAGAATGTACAGTTATTGTGCATTTGGGATCATACTGTAACTAGTTTTTTTGGCTAAGATTTTTTTCCAATGAGTTTTTTTTCAGGTCCAATATTTTTTAAACCAAAATTATAACACACATTAGTCTATCAAATTGTTAAAGCTATCATATTTAATATTTTAAATTATTGTTTAATTGTATTTTTTCTTCTGTTACTGGCCTCAGTAATTATTACAATTAGTACTTAGGGTATATTTGTATGTGATAATAATTGCTACAGTACTTCTGCCTTTTATATTTCAGTAGAAATTAAAAGTAAACAAGACATAAACTGCTTAACATACAAACAAAATAAAAAAGCAGAATAGAAATTGAAAAATTTGCAGCATAACTTACGACCAATCATGACAATTATGACCATAAATGTAGTTGGAATACACTCTTCCGTTAAGAGATAGTAACTTTTAATTTTGTTAAAAAAAACTATATCCTGCTTACATTGATAAGAAACTAAAAAAAATAATGCCAAAATTAATGAATAAAAGAAAAACAAAATTTCTTCTGATACCAAATATTAATAAAATGGAAGAAGGGTTAAAAAATTAAAATCAAGAGGGATAGAGTCTCCATATACTAGCTAAGGCTGGGTGTTCACAATTTTTTAAAAAGTCTTCCAGTTTGTAGGCAAATATGGTACTAATTACATTAATTTACATCTCTCATCATTAGTAAATTTGAACATTTTTCATATGTTTTTGCTCCCCTTGGTATTTGCTTTCTATTTTCTTTGCATATTTTCATATTAGTTTGTCATTTTTGAAAGAATTTTAAAACATCTTAGATGTATTTTTAATAACATCTATTATATAGATTGTGATTTTGCCTTTATTTTTCTTTGTAAATTTTGTTTATGAAGGTTTTTTTTCACACATAAAAGATTTTAGTTTTTCACTGTGTGGTATTTTGCTTTTCTCCTTCAAATGGTCTGAGATATAGACTCATCTACATGTTTTTCTAATTCTCCGTAGGTCTTTTAATTGGAAGTTGGAATGGGACTTACCAAGCTTCTCAGCAACAGTGTGACCTAAATGACCATTTCTTTATAAAGGCAGATTTGGCCAGGAGGAGCTTATGGCAAATCTTCCCACAGCTTTCCTCCAACTGCTCAACAGCAAAGATATTTATGTCACTGTGAATCTCTACACCTGTGGTCAGTGATTTCATGCTGCTCATGGCTCATTTCATGCTGAGCAGCAGGAAAGGCCACTGTGCAGCTTTCCCAGGCTGAATATGAACTCATCTTTTCTGGAGCTGTCTCACGCTTTCCCCAGACTGTGGAGAAGGGCAGAAAACATGCTCTATGGTACTACTGCTTGGACTTTTTCGTTAGGCTGCTTCATGGATAAGGTTGGGCCTGCTGCATGTTAAGTTGGTGGGATGGGAAGGATAAGGTACTCATGTGATATATGTATCTTGGCCTACTTTGTAAACACAGAGGCCTTACACAAATGCTATTCCAGTTGATATTATTATCAGGAATAAAGGAACTTAGTCGGCTCCTGAATAAAATATGACTTTCACATATGCTGTTGCTTTTCATGTTACATAGATTAAAAATCCTGTCCTCTGGCTGTAGAGTGCTGGTTTTGTTAAATTTAGACTTAGAAGGGCAATAAATATTAAAAGAATTTCAACTATCCAGTGTAATTTCTGCCTCTAGATAGACAGGCTCAAACAAAGTGAATTCTGGTTAAGAAGTTGTATTTAACAGAAATTTAACGTGGTATGTCCTCATATTAGGATTATGTTGAATTAAAAGATCCAGGTCAAACAACCTTGCCTGCTGGACTTCGATGATATTTTGCCAAAAAATGATGGAAGCCCCATTTTTGGGGCAGCTGATGCTAGGCTAGCCAGGACCCTGAGAACATGTTTTAAAAAGACCCTATGCTGGCAAGAAGTATAGAGATTACTTCATGGGACTTCTGAATTACCAATTATTTTTGCTGGATTTTTGACACAGTATTAAATTTTTTTTTAATCTAAACAAAAATAGTTGTCAACTTCCTGAAGTTAAACTTTAGTCCTGCTACTACCATGGGATCGACCTCATATCACCCCTTTTTCATCATCTGACAAGGGTGGAGATTGGAGCAAAAGCAAGGAATCTCCTCACTACACTCCATGCTTAGGTTTCTGTTGGACAAAGTGAGTTTTCTCTAGCAACTAAGCCTAATTAGGGATTAAAGTAGGGGCTAAACAAGTGAAATAGTGGTAAGAAGCTCTCCTACACATATATATTTGAGTACTCTCTCCCCTTACTGAAAGAAAATAACAAAAAAAATACTGTTGCAAATTAACAAATTCAGAAAATGCTAATATGAAAGAGAATGCCATATTCTAAGAAATTTTTTTACCATAATCCCATAGGCAATATTAGTATTTTATTAATAGGATGTTAATAGCCCATTAACTCTAACAAGGTCCAGGTATCATGCAAAGTCCAGGTATCATGCCAGGTGTTTTATTATAGAGCAAACCCCTATGTCCTGTATTTCCCAAGAAAGTACTAGCTCACACCTGTTGTCCTGATATAATTTTAATAACATCCCTGTTCACTCACAAAAGCATACCAGTTTGAATGACAACTTATATGGTTATACTATTTTTATGTGACTGATTACCCTTTATCTTAAAGAGAACTGTGACAAAGACGCTATTATTATGATCCTCATTGAGAAACTGATTTACATAAAGGTTAAATAATGTATTTAAAGCCACACAGTTTTTAAGTGGCAGTAGCTGGAAGTCAAACCCAGACTGTCTGGCCGCAGAGCCTGAAATGGTGGCTTCCCAACATTTGTCCTGAAGCTGGGCCCATGAGTGAGTGACTTTTTGTTTTCTTTTTCTTTTCTTTTTTTTTTTTTTAGACAGGGTGGAGTGCAGTGGTGGGATCACAGCTCACTGCAGCCTCGACCTTTCTGGCTCAAGTGATCCTCCCACCTCAGCCTCCTGAGTAGCTTGAGACAACAGGCACGCATGACCACACTTGGATAATTTTTGTATTTTTTTTTTTTTGGTAGAGATGTGGTTTTGCCATGTTGCCCAGGCTGGTCTTGAACTCCTGGGCTCAAGTGATCCACCTGCCTTGGCCTCCCAAAGTGCTGGGATTACAGGCTTGAGCCACCACACCCTGCACGACTTCTAATTCAAAGGATGTTATTAGATTGGAGGAGAAACTGGATGCAGACTTGGGTTCTCTTCCTCAAGATAAACTGCTGTGTATGCCTTCATTCTCATCTTTATCCTCCCACAGTCGGGTAAAGGAATTATGTGAGTATATGAAGGGACAAGCTCTCAGAAGGCACTGAGAAGAAAGTGCAGAATGGAGACAGATCTCACCTGACTCTAGCAAATGCCAAAAAGCAAGGAAAAAGACCCTTGATCTCATGGTACGGACCTCTTAGGACAGGTTATCTGACTTGTGGGAACTCCACTCTTGGTAGATCTGGATCAAAGCTAGAGAGTGCATATTTTAGCTGGTAGTTAGGGTCACAAAAAACATTATGTTAATTTATAGATCACAGTCCCCTTTATAGTTTATGTTATACATAATGCTATAGATAGCACTGCAGTTTATTGATTTCTAATTTCTGAATGCAGAAAACTTTGGGGGATATATAAACAAATAATGAAAAGTACTTGAAATTGCATTGCAAGTGTCAGTTATTATCATGCTAACAAATTTACTTTTTTGTTACTTAAAATTTCCAATGCCTTAAAAATTAGAAGCATACTATTTAATGTGAATAATTTTTGTAGGTGGCTTTGTCCATGAAAACCACATTTGTACTAATACTCATTCAACAGAGAATTTGAAGCAGGCCATACTTAATTTGCTCCTCTGTTTTATGGACAGGAAAGCAGAGATATGGGTGATCTACTAGAAGTCCACACAGGTCAACCATGTGGGGTTTGAATTAGAATGCAGGTGCTCCCAGCTCAATCACAGCAATAGATAATCCCACGCAATTATGTTTCCTCACATTTGGAAAGTCACACCTGAGTATTCAAAGCAAGTAATTGGTCCCAGTAACTTACTTTCCCAGTAACTTAATGGGCTGTTTCTGAATTCACTTGACCTCTGTATCATGGACTTTCAGCTGTGCCATCTCATCAAAGGCCTCAGAACATTGTACGGGGGGTAGTTTGCCCCTAAAAAAGGAGCTTATGGGACTGTGCTGATTGCTTAAGCACGAGAACAGATGTTTATTTCAAGGCCACATTCCTCATGCTTCAGAACATTGCTTCCCTGAGACTTCCCTAAGACAGTGGTTTTCAAGTGGGTGTACACATAACCCTGTCTATGGAAATACTTTCTAAGGGATGGGCATATAAGTAGTTTTGAGTGTCAATTATCGAGTTCTTAATCTCTGTATATTCTCTTTTCTAAGACTGATCTGTCTTACAACTTGTCTGAGGTGTGCGGAGCTCTCTTTTCTCTAACTCCTGTTCATAAACACCCTTCTCCCACTTTACAAAAGAACAAACAAAACAATAGCCCACCTCTCATTCATCTTGGATAGAGCATCTTTTGGGGATATAAAGAACCTCTTGGCTCCAAACACTAGGACTTGTTGGCAAAGCGAATGACTCTAATGACCAGTTAACAAAGCTTTGTGCAAGTCTGGTGGTTTCCAGTTCTTTGCTTTCAACAACATTGTAGGAGGGTCTAAATAAGTTGTTAAGCTGAAAAATTACACATAATTCTTAATGATCAATCATCATGTGATTTTTGACATATAACTAGGGAGGAATTTATAGAACCGAGGGAAATAACTATAATAAAACTCCAATTTCACCTACTTTTAAATATAAACATGTTTTTTCAGCAATGAGGTCAGAAAAAACAAAATTATGAATAGAAGTGAGGGTGATAGTTGTGTACTTCTTGCAAAATAGAATCTTTGAGCATGGATACATGAACTAGTTAAAATAAAGAAAAACAGAAAAAAAAAACCCAAAACAAAATACTTCATTCATCTCATTAAGAGAAGCATTTGGAAAAAAAAAAGCTTTACTTTAACTACTTAGGAATTATTAGAATTCATAATGTAGTTATGTTGTCTTGGCCAATTGTGAGTTGATAATAATTGCAATAATTCAATCCAGAAGAAGTGTGTGTGTGTGTGTGTGTGTGTGTGTGTGTGTGTGTGTCTGTGTGTGTGTATGAATTTCAAGTTTTACTCCCTGGGACTTTTATTAAGATTTACATTTTTATACCATTTTTTCCCCCTGAGAATTGTAATGCTGTGATTATAAAAATTCTCAAGTAAAGAGGTATTACGTTGGATTTAAGTTATTTCCTTATTTTTGGGAAGGGAAATGGAAATATAGTTAAAGCACATGACAAAAAAGATACAGAATTTCTAATTGTTACATTTCTGCCAATTATTCAATGAAGGATGTCTAGTTGATCATTTAGCTTTTTGTGACTTCATGTTCTCATGTTTACAGTGGAGGGGTTGGATAATCACCATTTATTATTTTAGCTGCTGAACTCTTTATTCAGATGGAATCTTAAAATCTGAATGATGAGAAAGTATTCTTAGACCAATTTTTTTTTGTAAGTAAGGGCAATAACATATTTTTCAAATGACTATCTTAGTTCTAAAGTCTATTCCCTTTTCTCAACTAGGGAAGGTAGAGAGAAAAAAGGGATATCTGATAGAAAAGGGAGAATGAGGTCCTCTCAACTACTGAATTTTCCAGTTTCCTGAGCATTCTGAATTTGTAAACCATTTAAAATACTCAGCTTAGGAAGTTGCTGTTAAATAACATAAAGACAATTACCCTGGAGACTAAGAGATGAAGTTAATCATTATTTTCCATAGAAAGTTTTCTAGGAGAATAATTTTAGGTTAGGATTTGTGGTTAAGGTATCAAAAATGAAAACATCAAAGCAAAAAATTGAGACTTTGATTTTAAAATTCATTCAGACAATCTGACCAGATAAACCTCCTCTATTAGGGTTTAGGGCTTGACGAAGACCTTATTAAATAAAGTTAATGGAAAATGCAAAGCCAATGCAGCTATGTATCTTTATAACCTAACCGAGATGTAAACACCATGAACAGTGTTTAAATATTACCATGATAAGTACATTCAAGAGATGCTATCCAGGAGCTAACCTATCCAAAATGACCACATGCTGCTGATAGAGCAGTGCTTTAAACAGCACAAATAGGCAATTCAGTTTCAATCACTAAAAATCTCATCTTCTGAAGAGATCAGACTGGCAATATAATTAAATGCAATAATTTGCTTCAGAACATAAATGATAGAGTTCATCATTTGTTGCACTTTAGCTAAATACAACAATATATCAAAATGTGAGGTGGAATCTTTTTTTATTTAGAATAGAATATTTAATCAGCTTTATTTTGAAAAATAATGACTTGGTTAGACAGCATTTACTACATATTCTATGTATATGGTTTTGTTTTCCCTTTAAAGAAAAATTAGTGAAAAGAATTGTCAATTTAGGCCAGGTGTGGTGGCTCACGCCTGTAATCCCAGCAAGTTGGGAGGCTGAGGCAGGTAAATCACCTGAGGTCAGGAGTTCGAGAGCAGCCTGGCCAACATGGTGAAATCCCGTCTCTGCTAAAAATACAAAAAATTAGCCGGGCCTGGTGGTGCATGCCTATAATCCCAGCTACTCAGGAAGCTGAGGCAGAATCACTTGAACCCGGGAGGCGGAGATTGCAGTGAGCCGAGATCATGCCATTGCACTCCAGCCTGGGCAACAAGAGTAAAACTCCGTCTCAAAAAAAAAAAAAAAAAAAAAAAAAAGTCTTGTCAATTTGGTCAATGTTGGCCACTTCAGTATTTTTAGAATTCACAATAATTATAACCAAGCATTTCCATTTGGGCTAAACACACACACACACACACACACACACACACACACACACACACGAGAGACAGAGTTTTGTAACAATTGCTAAAGGGTATCAGACAAGAACAATATCTGAATGCGATGGCAAAACACCTACTTGATATATTCAAATAACTAAAATGCATTGATGTTTTTGTCTGAATCATCTGCATAATTTGCACATGTGACCTTCTTGTTGTTTACTTAGCTACTACTATGGTTCAGCTGCAAAGAGTGCACCTGTGATACCAGCTCCTAGCAATCCAACACCAATAATCTTGATTCTGCAAATTTTCACTTCCAAGAAGTTTACAAAACACATCTGTAATATTTAAAGGTAAGTTTTTAATTTATACCTGCTTCTACTTATCTCTGAGGAAGAAAAAATGATTAGACATGTATAATTTAAATATTTGAAGGAAGAAGCCATTATGAGTGAGTCTAAAATTAGCAAACCAACACAAAACAAGATATAAAAGCTTGAAAATTACTTAATTTCAAAATATATTTCTACAAATGGAGTAAATATGCTGAGTGTATGTGAAAACACTATGTATAAAAGCAAGTCCATCCTGAGATTTTTCAAACAAGTTGAAGAAAATTCTTTTTAAAAAAGGCAAAAAGCCATTAACAGAGTGTTAACACTGCGCCACCTTATGGAGAACTTGTCAACTCCTAAGAAATGCGCTCAAGAACTTAAAACGTGTATTTCATCAGGGAGGGTTCTAAGAGCCTTTGTCAGGGATGAAGCTCTGGATATATGCAGGCAAAACTTTTCCAACTCATTTGACAAGCGATGTCCCTATTTATTACCGAGGACTTTTTGATTACATGATTCACATGCTCATAATCAATTCTTAAATGTTCAAACAACCATAACAACAACTTCTTTACAGGTTTTTTTAGTGCCAGTTATTTTGGGATCCATTTCCACAAATACGATAGTAACTTTATTTGTAGGCACCAGGTCAAAAGTGACAGGAAAAGTAAAGAGGAATTTGGTAAAATCTTGTAGGAGCTTCTGGTCTACCATCCCCTGACCCTTTGGGAAACAAATTTAAGAACCACCCTTTGTGGGGAGCATCTCCTGGATGGAGAGGATGGAAGGTGCCAGTGACCTCTACTGTCAGCAAAGGTATCTGTAGTTTTGGACTGTAGGAGTCAAATTCTGCAGTATTTTGCTTTATTTTACAGATAACACAAATGTGAAATTATATCCTGCTGATACAGTGTGTTAAGCCCATTTAAGTAGAGATTTCATATTTTGGTAAATATGATTGAGATATATTTTCAATATAGATGACACAAATTAAGAAAAAGGTCTGTCAGCAGTCAGTGAAATGGATAATCATAATAAAAAGAACAGGACATTATATTGAAATATTTACCCTGAAATCAAAGAATGTCAATGTGGCAAAGAATGTGCAGAGCATGTCGACCTCGTGGCTACAAAGATACACACTAAAACTCAGGAGGTGAAGTGATAGGAATAGTTTAATGCAGAGAAAAGCTTGAGTCATCACATTCTAGCCTTGCCATTTATCAGCTGAGTGATCTTGGGCATTGTTCATTAGCCCTTCAGACTAAATTTTCTCATCTGTACAAGGTAAATGTATTACCTAACTTAGAAAGTGGCTATGAAAATTAAATAAGGTAAAATGCCCAGCTCAACTTCTCAAAACCAAACAGTTGCTCAGTAAATATTATGAGCTTACCAAAGTCACAAAACCTGTTGGCAGAGCTGGAGATGGAACTCGGGTGTCCTAATAGTTTATGTGATGCCCTTTCCAAGGCCACACTGTTTCAGGTCTTACATTAAGTCATTTAAAGCTAAGATTCAGCTTTATTGGTATGCAAATGAATGGGCCTACAAATATGATTTCAACTAAAACTAAGGTTAAATACTGATCTTTGTGAACCCATTGATAGGCTATATTTTATTCAGCACCGTCTTTACAAAAGCCACTTTCATGGCCTAGAGTATGGCTGAATCCGGTTTGATATAAAACCTTTATATTAAACCACATCTCTGTAATTACTCCTCTTTGGTCTTTTCCCATGTTCTCTAGAGGTTAGAACTAGAAGCCTAATTTCTTTGACAATTAGCATTATCTCCAAACATGAATATAGCACATTAATAGATTGTTATATTAAAGAGAATTTGTGAATCTCAAATAACAAGAAATTGACAGAGCTCATAGGAAGAAATGCTCAAGTAGAGTTCCCCTCTTCCCTGTGTAGCACTCCTCCCCGGTAAAAAGGGGATTTATTTTGTCCAGATAGACATGGTGGGCCATATTCAGTGTAGCACATATCACAACTTTTGGGAAAGACCCGAGAAATTCTTCCTCACTGAATGAGATAAACATAGCACTTGTTTCTATGGCAATGGTAAAACAACAACGTATCCATCTGTCTGGCTACATAATGGACACCTGACCTCACACCTTCTTCTTTCAAAATATATCACGTTATTTTAGAGGGAAAAAGTTTTCAAATAAAATGACTTTTATCCAATTATGGGTTATTTTAAAAATCTGCTATCTCTTTTCTCATCGAATTTCACCCATGGTGGAGATATTTCACTGACAAGATGTTGATTGTCATTCTGTGGAAGACAGTGTAGATTGGTTTGTGTTGCTCCACCAAAGGTGCAAATCAGAGGTAGGGAGATTTTGGTTCAATATGTCAAAGAGTTTCCAGAGCTGCTCAACAAGGGAAGAGCTGGGAGATCCTGAGGAGGTACTGGGTATTAAGGACAGGATCCTTTAACAGACAGAAGTTTGGTCCAGATAATGAGCAAGATCACTTGTTACATGAACGTTCTGTGGTGCTAGGTTTACAAAATGCATGCCATAGAAAGATGTTAATGAAAACTTACCCTTTTTTTTTTGCACAACAAATTTTGGAGGCAGATTAATACAAATGGTAAAGACACAGAGTGGGGTCAGACTTCCTGACAGATCTGTCAATAAGCTCTGCTCATTATTAGCTGTATCACTTGGGCAAGTTACTGACGGTTTCTGTGCCTCAATGTCCCCATTTGGAAAATGGGGCTAATAACAGCATATATTTATAGTGTTGTTATGATGATTCTATGAGTGAGTACATGCGAAGTGCTTTGAAAAGCACTTGGTTCAGATTAATCTTCTGTACTCTTCCACCAAATGTTAGTGTCTTCTTCTCCACAAAATTATATCATATTTGACTATACAAAAGGATGTCTGTGTGATCCAAAAGCAAGCAGGGATAGTAACTACATGGTACAAATCCATGCTATCCCACTGTATTGCCATGATAGATATTGCCTTCTAACACGTCACTAAATCCCACTGCACCTAGATGTGACCTCAGCATCCTTCTCAAAGCAGAGATCTAGAGCAGACAAATGAAAAGAAACCTATTTGTCATTTCTGCTTTTGTTAGTTTGTTTAAGAAATCTGGATTTAAACTTTAACTGTAAAACTTGTCAGGGTCAGAGATTAAACCTTCCATTGCTATATGTACTCCACTTTTTGCTTTAGTGTGACATTTTCACGTGGATTTGTCAAATTACCACAAGACTGCTTTTATCTGTTTATTTTTTATATGAGAAGTTGTACATTTTTAATAAGCCATCATGAAAATTAGTGTATAAAATATGCTTTGTTGGAAACATCATTTCTATTACAAGTCATGTGTTAGACAATATATTTATTTCTCATGAAATTCTATTTCCTAGAGTTTGGCAAGTAAGGTTTTCAACACTTGCTAGAATATATCTGTTTCTATTTCTTATAGAATAAGAACCACCTTACATATGCAAATTTTCCTTAAAGAAAGGAAAGAGATCAAAGAAGATAGAAGCTAGACAGTACAAGTGACCTCAATGATTAAAGTTAACCCTGTCATAATTCATTTCCAACAAGGGATTTATACTGATCTTTTACCCTTTCTGGTCATGAGAACAAGGTAGCTAAACCTACGGGAGGCAGGGATGAGAAAGGACTATAGCAATACAGAGTCCAGCAATAGCACATTGGGAAGAGCAGAAAGTTTAAGACCCATTAGCAGGCTTATTTCCAGTTTAATCTAAGCATTACGTTCCAAAGGGAAGACCCATTTCCCAGGTTAGGATAAGTGCAGAATTCTGAAAGCAAAGATGATAGATGTTCAAATTGCCAGGCCATGTATATATATATATATATATATATTATACGTACATGTCATTTTAGAAAGTACACAATATCACTATTTGAGCACTTATTCTGCACTAGTCATGTGCTGAGAACCTTAATCATTCAGTCTTTATTGACACAGTAAATCTGAGAGCTAGGATCATCCCTATTGATTATGTGAGAAAACTGAAGCATGAGAAAATTAAATTGTTTTTTGTAGGCCATATTGGCAGTAACTAGCAAGACCAAGACTTGATCTTAGAATCTCTGACTCCAGAGTCTGGGTACTGACCCCACTGAGGGGACAGGCGATGCTGGTTACAGGGAATTGCTAGGTTCCATCTCCCTTGGGCTTGAGGGCTGCTGGGAACTTCTGTGTAAGCAGGTCCCAGCCAGATGAGAGGGGATGTCAAACAGGCATACTACTCATGTGTCAGTACTCTGCAGAGCACTGGAGAACTCCTCGGATGAATAAAAGGAGGTCAGGGTTTGATAGTTGGAAGGGGACTTTTATCTGATCATGCTCCAGCAATGCCCCATCATTTCTGTGCTTGAAAACAGTGTGGATACAGTTAATGCAGGGTCCTGAGGCACTATGGATGTGCTAGAAAAAGGCTGACTCATTACTCTCAAACTAGCTATGGGGAAGAAATAACAAGCCTGCATACTCCTGGGGTCATCTGGAATAGACAGGAAAGGACTAGGGTTAGCAGTCCAAATAAATTTGATAGTGGTTTAAACTGCAAAAAGTCATTTATGGAGAAGGAAACAACAACAACAACAACAAAAACCCTAAGCATTTTGAATGATGTCTACCTTCCAGTTGTTTTGAAAGGATTTACCATTTCAACCATTTATCAAATGGGAAACATTGAATTCCAAACTTGGCAAATAGTTTATTGGTACAGTCCAGTAATTATATCAAAGTGGCATAGATTAAGCACAGCACTGAGTTTATCATATGTTTATTAAAACGGGTAGAAGCATAAAGCTAACATATAATCTGAAATCATATTTTTAAAAACAGGTCTTAATAAACAAGAACTTGATAGGAAGGAAACTAGACTTGGGCTGATCAGTGGACAGATATTTATCGCATTTATGAATGAACAAGTTTTTCTGCCCTATTTTTATTTTAATGAAAACAGTCATGTCCATTGAGATCTTTTAGAACAATAATGAAAAGAGTAAAACTCTTCTGTAATACAGAGGTGACTCAAATAGCAATTGCTTGGGACAGATATTTCACACTGTAGGGCTTCCCTTAACCAAATACTGCATCCTGCAAAGAGTTCCTAAATGAACATGGCCATGGAATTATTTCTGAATCCATTGAGGTTATCCTTAAGTCATCAAGATACTTGGGGATACTTGAATTTTTTTCTCCAGGGTAACTGTTTGCTTTAAAACAGTAGAGTAGGGATGGAGGATGAAAACAGAAATGGAATTTGGATAGACCTTATTATCAGTGGCCTGATATTGGCATGAAAGCAAAGCCTGACCCTAAAGGGCACTGATATTCTTCAGTCAGATATAAGTGAGAAGTATTTTCCTGGATTTCTGAGATCCTCTTCAAGAACAACTGGTCTACACTGTTTGAGTTCAAATGTCTTTAAATGTCTTTCACTTTTTCATTAAAATTTGCTCTAAAATATTTTCCATTATATTTTTTTCTGATTGCCTTTAACAAAATACATATTTTAAATTATGAAATCTAAACTGGAGATAACTTTTGTTTTGTAATTTATTTTATGTGTAAAAGTTTTCCCTCATACCCATTCTACTTCTCCAACATAACTTCTCAGAAGTAGAAACAGTTAATAATTTCAGGTTTACCATTCTAGACATTTTTCTGTGCACATAGGCATGTGTAGAATGTATAATTTTACACAACAGGATCTTTTTTATCTATATATATATATTTTTTCCTGAAACTTTCTTTTTACTTAATATATGATGACCATATTTTCATGTCAGTACATATAGATCTGCCTCATTCTTTTGAAATAGGTGTATGGCATAATACATTTGAGTATTTCCCTATTGATTGGCATTTAGGCAATATCCGTCTTTGAAATACTACAAATGATATTGCAAAGAATATTCTAGATGCACCTAAAGATATGTACAGAAAGACTCGCATTTCTGTAGGGTAGAAAATATGTAGAAATGCTGAGCCAAAGCATATGGGATTTGTAATTTTCACAAGTAATACTAAATTTTCTGCTTCTCTTTGATTATTAGTGAGGCTAAATGTCTTATCATAACTACCTTGGCCATTTGGTTCATCTCCCATGACTTCCTACATTTTGTCCTTTTTATTTTGAATTTATAGAAACTCTTTTTACCTCAGTGTTTAATAACTTTGGAGTCAGAGACATCTGAATTTGAATCCCAGTTTTGCCTCTTTCTTGCTAGATGACTGGCACTTTACCAAATGTCTCCAATCTCAGACTGCTTATGTATAAAATGAAGATAATAAGAGTACACATCTGATAGTTTTTATTTCTTTAAAAAATTTAAAAATTGACAAATTAATATTATATATATATTTATGGTATGCAACTTTATGTTTTGATATATGTATACATTGTGGAATGGCTAAATCAAGCTAATTAACATATACAAGAAAAAAATGATAGTTTTTAAGTCTTAAAAATAACATGGTGATTGTAAATTTTTAGTATGGTGCTTGGTACAGAATATGTGTTCAATGAATATTATTTGTTCTATACATCGTGAATACTTTTTCCATGCTGTTAGTTGATTGTGAATACTTTTTCCATGCTGTTAGTTGACATATTATTATTTTCAGAAATTATCACCATATAGAAATTTTATATTTAGATATAGTCAAGTCTCATTCTCTCTTTATCTTTTGGCTTTTGGGTTTTGTGTTATGTTTATGATTATAACACCTAGATTATAACAAATGTATCATCTTGTGTTTCTCCTAGTGTATCAATATTTGTTTCTGAGTATGATAGAAGGTAGATATCTGCTTTGAATTTTCTGTCATTTTGCCACTGATTTAAAATGCCAATGTTATCATATACTAAATTCCAATATGTTCCTAGACTCCATTTTGTTTCCTTAATCTATTTATCCTTTTCTGTGTCAGTACTGTAGTACTTTAGCTATTTCAGCTTCATGGTATGTTTTGACCCTTGAAAAAGCAAGACCCTAACTCTTTTTAATCTTTTAGTTATATTTGTTTATTTGTTTATTACCTAGTTTGTGATTTAGAGGCTTTCAGGGAAATGTCGCCTTGTCTTTATTATAATTGCCTAAAATAATACTTAGCTCAGACTAGGCACTCAATATAGGTGAGTTGAATAAACAAACTTAAATCTTGTAGTCTTTTTTAACACCTTTTTTTTTTTTTTACTGTTTCTTAAAAATTCTTACTGATGAAATTAATCATGAATACAGAAAACAATATAAAACAAAAATATAAATATCCTTCTACCTACTGCCTTGTATCCAATTTTTAGAAAGAAATAAAACAATTCTTGTGCTTTATAAAATTATTCTTCCAGTAGCAGTAGCTTTCAAAGTAGTTATATTGGTAGAATCTTTATTTCTTTGTATACCATGGTTTGATAATGTTTATTTATTTATACTACTTAAAATGACATTATTTACTCTGCTATTTGTTTTAGAAAGAAAAAATATTTCCTGGAACTTTCACCTTTAGTGAGTTAGAAGAATGCCATTTGAAGTAAATAGAGATTCATTGTTTCTCTGTATTTCTCAAAGAATCAGTAGAGATATTGAGAGGAAAAAGGTAGGTTTCACATGTCTTGCTGTTCTTGATAGTCTTTTAAATAAAGACTCTTATTATATTTATCATCATTTAACTGGAATAAAAAAACCTTTTTTTTCTTATTTACACAGTTCTTTCTCATATAAATTTGGAATATTGGAAAGAAATTACTGGAAGAAAAGAAAATATTAGAAACATGGGTAGTGATGAAGCAAAGAATCTGAAATGCTTCACTCAAAACCTCTTGAACTGTGGAAACGATGGGGAAGAGAGTATGTCAAATGAGATCCCGGGGAAGGAATGCGAGCTTGATAGCTTGACCAACAGCAACAAAATGACCTGAGAACTTACTAGAAATGCAAATCCTTGGGCCTCACCTTAGACTGAATCAGAAACTCTGGGAGTGGGGCCAGCAATCTGTTTTGACAAGCCCTTTGGGTGATTCAATTGCTGATTAAAGTGAGAAAATCACCACTTGAGTGCAGCAAGGAGAGCAGTGTGTTGGGATGACATGGGAGGTTTAAAAATCTGTCAAATAACAACAACAAAAAAAATTCTTGTCCCTGTCATCAACTTCCATGTCATGAGGATAAAAGGGAAGTTTGAAAAATTATTTGAGAAAATATGGTAAGACTGGCAGCAAATTGTAACTTTAAAAATTAGTAGGCACATTAGGCAAGCTTCTACCACACCTCTTTCTTACCCAGATTCACACACACAAACCAGGCTGTCCAAAGCACAGTCCTGCTTAATTAGATACTGAGGAGCCAAAACTTTTCCACCCCCTCCCCTCAGTCCCTAAGACACAACACATCAGTTTCCATGATTGCTGTTCAGCAGAACCAGGCCAATCTGGTTTTTTGCAGCTTGCCTATTAAAAAGTGACTTTCACACCCTCCTGGGTTATGTACCAAGACCTTTGCCCTTTTGTGGCTTAGCAGAATGATTTATTTGTGTCATTAGTCAATCTATTATTTCATCCAAAATATTTCCATTACCTGAAATAAACTGCAGTCCCAATGATGAAAGCTGTGTCTCTCCTCACTTTTAGCAGTGGTGGTCAGTTGCTGGCAAGATACTCAGGTACTTAAAACTTTTTTTTTTTTTAATATTTCTACTCATTACTTTTAATGGAGCAAAGCTAATCTTCTTTGAAGAAATATTTCGGTCTTTGACCATAAATATTTTCAAGCCATTTTCATAAATTGCGGGCAGCAAAAGAGATTCTAAACATTATCTCCCACCCACTCTCTCATACTTCTCACTGGTATTCCTGTCTCTTATAACTCAACTTCCCTTTGGAGATTGGGACTTTGTTGTCCTTTCTGTCTGGTGGCTTACATAACATGTAATAATCTCTCTGCTGCAAATTTCCACCCTAAATCACAGGAAGATATGAAACTTAATAACTGTTAAATCTTTTAAGTTTGTGATACTCATTCTCACAACACAGTGTATATTCAGTATTTACTTGTCTCTGAATATATTAGAAACAGCTATTTAAAATCCAACTCTCTGATGAGCTCAAAACAAGAGATGGGACCCTAATGAGTATGTTACAGTAAGAGAAAAACAAAGCCCTCTGAAAGAAAGGAAAAGAAACTGTTTTTCCTTCCTCATTTTCTCCCTTTGAGGACTGAACTATGTCATACTTCTGCTTTCTCTTTAAAAAGACAGAAACTCTTTATTCTTTAGAATTATGATGAAAATAAAGCTTTTTACTAAGGAATCAGTGACACACCCACTTTTTCTAATATTCCATTGACAATTAAAACAATGCTCTACCCTAGAGAGATGACGTCACTCTCTAGGTAATTTAAACCAAAAACAAAATAAACATAAATAAGCACACTGACTATTGGTATCTATAATTTTGAAAAATATATCTGCTGGTATGCACCTATTATACAATGAGGTATCTTTTACAGATACCTTCAAATTTTACCTTCCCCTTAAACTGGTGACCTTCAGCCACGGCCTCCTTTATGCACTGTAGGATCCTACTTTTCAGATCATCTGAAAATCTTTACAATTTTAATTTATACTATTTGTTCTAATACAACTTTTATTGGCTTGATATGTACAATGAATCATTTTAAATTTTATTTGATTTTTCTACTGAAAAGTTTATTTGCTGTGACCATGTGGACAAAGACACATATCTACAGAATGGTGGAGGCACATTTAAATCAGTGGCATTTCTCAGCTTCTAACCATTACTAAAATTGTGGTGTGGGATAGTGAAGATAAAGTTTGGGATGCATATAGAATTGTGGGTGAGGGATAACCAAAAGAAGCTTGGGGGATGCAGATAGAATTTGTCTCAAGCTCCAACTTCATCACTTAACCCGATGAACTACTTTAACTCATGCTTTAATCTGAGTTGTAGTTTTCTCAATTGTAAAATGAGGATCATAATCATTACAACAATAGATAGCAGTTATTGACTGCTATATGCCTTGTGCCATGACCAAATTTTTTCCTACATTATTTACAATCCACGAAATAATCCTTTAAGATAGAAACAATTCCTTCCTAAAAGGAAACTGAGGCTAAGAGAGGCTGAATAATACAAATAAGAAGTATATCCTGTTGTATTTCCTTTCTGTTACAGTAGCACTGTGTCACGGAGTGTTGGGTGCAGATCAAATGAGATGCTGAATGTGTAAGCACTTAGTAGGTTGCATGCACATGACTCAGTCAAAGTTTAAGTGTTTTGTATCTGAACAGTGCTATTCTATAAAAATATATTCACACACTAATAACATCATTTTTTTTCAAGTGTAGCCTGCATCCTTGAAAATTCTTTAAAAACCATAAAATGCTACTGCCTAGCATAAGGCTTAATCTTGGACACTCTTACAGAAGTTGCTTTGGGTACCACCCTTCATTCCCTAATAGCATTTTTGCTTTTTCAAAAGAGCCCAGATTTTAAAATTTTCCAGATAAATAAATACAATTCCTTTTCCAGTGTGAGGCAGGGGACATAGGGTTAAGAAATTTATAATTGTTAATTAAAAGAGTTTAAAAAAATACTATCATCAACTATCACCATCATTAGATAAAAAGGAGGGATATTTTTGATCCAGAAGGGAAAGGATATAATCCCAGAACAAAGTGTGATTCTTTAAATTGAACATACTTAATGGTAAGAAAAACTCTTAAAATTATCTTCTATCTTTTTATTTTGCTGCCAGACAGTGAAACCCTGAAACCCTGTCGTGGATCAGCATGGATCATTAGACCAGATTTGAGAAACACTGTTTTAGATTAAAAGCTGTGTGAGACCCTGAAAAATCACAGGCTGTTCAGCAAACAGGCCCTGGGTAAAAATGTGTGCTCTGCCTTCAGTAGGAGTACAGGACGGTGATTCAGACCGTGAGCTCTGTAGTTAGGTATTTTAGGTTTAAATCCTGCCTCTGCTTCTGGTTATACGATCTCTATGTCTCTAAGCCTCATCATTTCCTGGAGTTAAAATGGGTATAACAATAAATCATGTAAGTCTCATAATAATATGATTATTATGAGAATTAAATGGAATGATTCATCCAAGAATCTTTATATTAAGCCTTCAATAAATGTTAGTTTTAAATTTAACTTAACACTATTATTAGTAATAATAGTAATTATTTTTATTCTTATTTCTTATGATTATTAATTTATTTAGCTTCTTTGATTTTCAGTCTTCGTATCTGTAAATTGGAGAGATAAAGTACCTAGTTTTCAGAGTTGCTGTGGAGCCTAAATGAGGTAATGCATGTTTGTACATAGCTTGGCATGTATCAACAAGCCTGATAATAGTGTTAAAAGCAAAACATATGCGTGATTTTCACTTAAAGACTGAGCAATATCTATTCAGGAGCTCTACTTAACAAGTATTATAAAAAGGAACAACAACAACAACAACAACAACAACAAAAAACAATGAAGACATTATAATTAATAAAACACCTCCAGCTTGGATATGAGTAAGATGAGTATGATGGTAAGACCAGACATACTTGCTTTCTTTCCTGCATAAGCTTATATTTTCAGGTGTCCTGGACAACTCAAGGAATCACCCATGGTGCATTTATCTCCCACACCTGTTGCCCACTAGTCATCATTGTGATTATATCTGGAACCCAACCCTTTCTTTTATTTAATGTGGGGCAAAATCTGGCCAGCTGGAAGATTCTGGACAGTGATGGAGTAAAACAAATAGATAAAATCAGCCTGCATTACTATAATCTTGGCTCTTCAATAAAGAATATCCTAACAATTTTCTAATTCATGGGGAAATTGGATAATCTAATGTAAGCAGTTAAGGTTTGAGATCAATATTCTTTCTTTTATTATTTTTAAAATGAGCTGGAGCAATGAAAGGGAAAAAGCTTTGGACTAAAGCATGTTCAAATATAGAACGTATGAAAAATTTAAAAACGGTAAATAAAAGAGCTAAAATTACATTAGAAAAGAAAATAACCTCAAATATGGTAAATAAATTTAAAAATATCAGAAATAGTAAATAAAAGTCACTTGCAAAAGGCTGTGTAGCCTGAACATGGAAGTACACACAAAGTTTCCTTTCAGTATCAGAACAAATCCCTCCCGTTGCACAAGTACACAGAGTGCCAAGGTAGTCATCATATAGGGAAATGAGACCATTTAGAACACATGGAAAAGAGTTGCCATGCTCCAAAATAGATCTTGGAAAGTTTATCATTTCCAAGTGAGTGAATAGGAAACTTGACTATTTTTAGCCTAATTAAAATTCAATGTATTTTTTACTTGCCATTTTTAGACCACTCTTTTTCTCTCCACATCATTAAAACCATACATACCATGGGTTTCTGACTAATTTTCATGTAAGTAATCAATGTATGGTTTTGAAATTCTATTTAGAGCCATGTTTTGCTAAGAGTTGTATTTTGCATTTTGTTAGTAGAAATCACACCTTTAAAAGAGTAAAGCAGATTAGGTTTTTGCATTTGACTCTAATTTTTATGAATGAGATGTCAACCTGGCAAAGCACAATTTCCCTTTTGTGTAAATCACAATGCAGAGTGGAATACTATAAGCCTGAGTACATCCCATGACAGCTGTAGAGGTTAATATTTAGAATAAATAAGAAAAATCGCTATTTAATTCTCTTTACTTTCTACCCATGGATCTGCTGCTCAAAGGCACACAAAATGCAAAACTGAAAGACATTTTATATCCTAACGACAGAGCTTTGGCTGTCATGCATTTATAACGAGCACACTTCCCTTTTCTGATTTACTTACATACTGGAGCTAGACCTCCTTGGTTCATTTCCGAATCCATCATATTAGCTGTGTGTTCTTCAGTAGGATACTTACCTCTCTGTTCTTCAGTTTCCTTATGAGTAAGAGTGTGAAATAGTACCTACCTTAGAGGGTGGCTGCGAAATTTAAATACCTTAAAATCGATAAAAGGCATAGAAAATTACTGGCTCATAGTAAGTACTATGTGTTAGCTATTATTACCATTATTGTTATTATTGAAATATTTCAATGTCTATTTCATATCCCAGTTTTCTTGAAAGTTTTCACAACCTACTTTTTTTTTAGAAAGTAGAAATTACACATTTCTGGGAATCTGGGTTTGATCAAAGTTTCACACTTGTCTCTGTTTAGATTATATTCCAATCAGTGCCAACACTATCATTTAATTTCCGAGAATCTACCAGAAAGAGAGCACTTTGGGAACCAAGTGGTGAATGTGTGGGGGGGGACAGAGTGCTGGTGGGCAGGTCAGATGGAAGGTTGTTGGAGTGGTCCAAGTGATAGATGACACTGGTCTGGCTACCTTAGAGGCAGTGGATATTAAGCTTTTAACATGCTTAAGTTTAGTATAAAGCTTCTTCAAGGTTGGGAATAAAGACTCAAACACATTTGATCAAAGAACACATCATTAACATTGATACTACACTTTTAAAAAAAAAAAAATGGAGTTTTGCTCTTGTTGCCCAGGATGGAGTGCAATGGCACTATCTCGGCTCACTGCAACCTCTGCCTCCCGGGTTCAAGCGATTCTCCTGCCTCAGCCTCCCAAGTAGCTGGGATTACAGGCGCACACCACTACCCTCAGCTAATTTTTTGTATTTTTAGTAGAGACGGGGTTTCGCTATGTTGGCCAGGCTGGCCTTGAATTCCTGACCTCAGGTGATCCACCTGCCTCAGCCTCCCAAAATACTGGGATTACAGGAGTGGGCCACCACACCCAGCCAATTTTTTTTTTTTTCCTGAAGGTAGCCCGTGTTTACTTCACTGTCATACTTTGCAGAAAGCAGGCGTTGTAGGAATAGGGCAAAATAAAAGTAATTAATTTTGAAGTAGGGACAAAGGGAGTTTAGAGAGATATTGTGGAAAGACTCAAACAGTGAGGCTTTTCCTTAGGAAGGCTGGCTTCTAGAATAAATGAGAATACTATATGAATGGTAGGTGCGGGACAAACTAGCAGAAGGGGAGGGGACATGAGAGACAAGTTCTGCCTCTTATACAATGTAATGCAGAGCCACTCTTATTCATGTGTTTAACTGTCTTTGAGGTCATCTATAAGTACATTAATGCACATATTTTTCTGCATTTGCTAATGGCTCCCTGCAACTTTGCAGTTCCTTTAGGGAGAGCACTAGATGTGGAGTCAGAAGGCTGGAGTTTTCATGGCAGAACTATTACCTCCTGGTTGGAAAATATGTCATCTCTGCTATGGTCTCCTCTTTAATGAATGCACTGGGCTCCTGAATAATACTAAGGGTAAAATATTAGTTATCAAGAAGATATATAGCATTACTTCAAATGCTAGAGATGCCTCTTTAACAAATTAAAATGCAGACCATAACTTCCAGTTTTGATATTTGTGGACTCCACATTGCTACTCTTCAAATATGCCCAGATATTAATATTTTAGTAGCTGAGAAGAAATGCTAAGTTTCTCATTGACCTTGTATTCACTAAAATAACACATCTAATTTGAAGAATATATATTTTCCTCATGGGATGCAATACAATTGTTTTCATTTTGAATAGGAAAAGAAGCCACCCAGTAAATTTTTATTTTTTTCTAAATTGGCCCTCGAGCAAGGATCATTCACCACTTTGCTGGGATTTTGCCTTAGTGCCACCTTTGCAGTCTATGTGATGTTAGTAATGAAAAAGTGGTCTAATACCCTGACCTTTCAGTCCTGTAGAAGGCCCAGTGAAGAAGGTGCTAAAGCAATTTGCATTATTATGTACCCTGTGCCATGAACTTCTGTGAATCTTGGGCGAAAGAAATTCCATTCCAATGTCCATAAACACCAATGTTTTCTATGATACATCCTCATACTTGAAAGAATTCTATCTGTCAGACTTAAGGTTAGAAACAAATAATTATGCTGGAAGTTGGGTTAATTAATGGATGAGTCAAGTCAATTTAAAATTTAAATTTGGCAGCAGTACAATTTTCCTTTCTTTTTCCCTTGTTGCCTGCATTGACTTTATGAACACCTCACTAGAGAGGAAATCTCAAAAAGCAAAGCTTTTCTTTAAAAATTATTATTATTAAAGAGATTTTTTTCCTATAATACAATAAATATAATTTTCATATTTATTAAGAGCTGACACCAAACTAAAATCCATTTGCAATTAAATTTACTTGATGTCTGCCTACTTAATAGACAGATTTGGGACAGACAATAAAAACCTATGAAATCCTAGAAGAACTATATCACATTTCACTTTTTTTTTCTGTGCAGTAATGTTATGTTTGTATACTTAGCTATCTGGAATGTAAACTTAATATGAAGTGTGATCCTGAACTATTCCAGGTTATACCAAAAGGCTGGAATTTGGTTATAGGTATAGTCACAGTTCCGGTGGCCTGATTGAGTTGGAGAGCTGAGTTTAAAGCCTATAAGAGATCGGCTGAAATATCCATTGAGAGAGGCTCCTAATTCTGTTACTTACAGGCTCTGATCATCTAAGACAATTAATATACCAATTATATTAAAATAAAGAAACGTCTAAGTCGCCTTCAAAATTCCATTTGAGTACAGCAGCAGAGAGAGCATAGTCTTTTGGTTTTAGGCGAACTTAGGTTTGAGTTCCAGCTCTGCCACTCAGAGATGTATGAACCTTGCTGGGTCCCTGTAAGTTTTCTGCCCTATTTCCTTACCTGTAGAATGGGCTTGATAATATACCATATGATTGTCTCAGGAAGTCACTGAGTATCATTGTATCCTGCACACAGTAAGGGCTCAATGAATAGTAGCTGTTTTTTGTTTTTGTTTTTGTTTTCTATTTTTAGTTATACCTGGGAAATCTAGGAGGTATTAATATTAACTTGCGGAAAATCAGCTATTCAAACAATTTAGGATTAATTGCTTTCAGGGCTTGGATCCACATTAGGAAAATGAGAAGGAAAAATGTTTAGTTTAGTTTTGTTTTTCTTGCCTATAAGAGGTATAAATACCACCTAAGTAGCTCCAGCCTAGTGCAAGAAGCAGAGGAGAAATAGAGGTATGACTTTGTGATTAAGAGGGCAGAGGGCTGTTGGGAAACAGTTCTGCATGATTAAACTGAATGCTATGTTCTGAATATGTGTGCTATGTTTTAAATGCTCACTAAAGAAAACCAACTCAAACCCAAAATAGAAGAATGGATGTTAAGAATATGAATGAATTATTGGTTTGGAGGAAGTACTACAGATGAATAGCTGAAAGCTCTGGGGAAACAGCTAGTTGATAACTTAAAACAAGAAAACTTTAAGCCTCAGTGTGCAGGAGAAATAAAAAACACTTTATTTATGGACACATTTAGGGAAGTCTTAACTAATTTCTCTAAGAGAAGAGAGGGTCTCCTGGATGTGCTGGGACAAAGAAATAATGATGACCCTGTCTTTTGTAATCTGATAGAGAAATAAGAAAATAATACAAAAGGGAGATTAAACCACCATAAAACAAGTATAAAATGTTATAATTTGTGATTCAAAAATTGCTATATTTGGCCTGAAAAATTTATCTATGCAAATTTTTTTTATAAAAAGTTTTTTTTTTAATTATACTTTAAGTTCTAGGGTACACGTGCACAACGTGCAGGTTTGTTACATAGGTATACATGTGCCATGTTGGTTTGCTGCACTCATCAACTCGTCATTTACATTAGGTATTTCTTCTGATGCTATCCCTCCCCCAGCCCCCTGCCCCCCAACAGGCCCCAGTGTGTGATGTTCCCTGCCCTGTGTCCAAGTGTTCTCATTGTTCAATTCCCACCTATGAGTGAGAACATGCCACTGTCCTTGTGATAGTTTGCTGAGAATGATGGTTTCCAGCTTCATCCATGTCCCTGCAAAGGACATGAACTCATCCTGCTCTATGCAACTTTTAAGTACACAAACAGTCTGGAAAATATTTGGTATATGCAGAAATCCTAGAATTTCCAGATCATTATTATTGAGGGCAGGGGCTTATAAACTCATTTTTCTCCCCATACACTATCATAATAAAGAGATTAAGAAAATTATTTCAATGAATGCATGGCAACAGAGAAAAATACTTTACATACTACATGGGTATTTAATATATACCTATATATTCATACACATGCAAACGCACACAGCTCACATGCATGGGACCTCTGGAAACTCTAAAACAAGGGATATCAATCATGATGTGATATGACATCTTTGTTGGGGGGATTAAACGCTGTCCAGGAAAGGCTAAAAAGAAGGAAGCAGCATGTAAGTTAAGCTTTAGGAGACTGCACCTTTCAAAAAGGGAAAATAAAGTAAGGCAGGCGTCTCAAACTGATTGAAATTATTGTGTACAATCAGTGTCTCCATTTCCTCATTTCACATTTATTTCTCAACCCACACCCAACTCACGACTAAAATTGCTCTCAATTAAATGCAATTGCGAGCTCTCAATCCTTATCCCACTTGATCTACTGGTAACATCCCGCATGAGTGCTCGCTTTCTCCTCCCTGGTTTCCATAAAATTACTTTCTCTCTCTCTCTCTCTCTCTCTCTCTCTCTCTCTCTCTCTCTCTCTGTCTCTCTCCTGTAGTCTTTCATCTCTGTCTTTTTTTTGCAGGATTGTTTTCCATTTCCCTTTAAATATTGGTGCTTTCCAGGATTCTAAGATGTTTTACTTTTCTTTTAATTTTCTACCTTTAATTTTTTCCTCTATGTTTTCTTTCTTTATTCCCTGTTTTTACTTCTCCAGAGATAATATGCTTTATTCCTATGCTGTCAGCTGAAATAGATTCACTATGTCTCTTAAATTTATATTTCTAGTACCAAATTCTCTCTTGAGGCACTAATTTCTATATGCACTTCTACTTAACATCATCACATGGATGAGCCAAAGACATTATTTTTTTTTCCTCCAAATTCAACTATTTATCTTGCCTGTCCAAAATACTCCTTGTCCCGACTTGGTGAATGACATCACATCTCTCTTATTATCCATGAAAGAGGCCTGGAATTCATCATACAATTTTTCTCTTTCATCTCACCTCTAATTTCTATCGTTCACCAAATCCTACAAAATCTACCTTTAAAATAATTTCGTTTTTTTTTCTTTTCTGTCTCCAACAAGGAGGCCCTAATTGATTCTTCCCTCTGTCACTGCAGTAAGGCTGCGTGTGTCCAGTTAATCTGTATCCATCCTTTTTTTCAATCTAATATGCCTCTTATTTTCCACCAGAGAGATCTACCAAAATGGCAAATCTGATTATTTCAGTAACCTATATTAACTCCTTCAAGGACCCCCCACTATCTTCCTGATAAAATGCAAACCCTTTAGTATGGTAGGCATGCAAGCTTCTTTGTGTATAATCTGTGTCCTTTAACCCTGCTGGGGCAACAAAAATACCTGTGGTTTCCCCAAGTCACCATGTTGTTTCAAGCCACAATCTGGTGTCCTGCCTGTAACACTTCATTTCTTCCCCTCTTTATCTAGCTCATTCTGTTCTGTCATTTCAATGCTGAATCATATGCCCTTTAGGGTAACCTCCCTAGAAAATTTCCCTGATGTCCGGGCTGGTTGTCCGGCTAGGCACCCTCATGGCATTTCTCTATTGGAATACATACCACAGGGCTGTATAATGTTTGTTGGTTTGTCTGTCTTTTCCATTCCCCATGAAATCAGGATCTGTAATCTGTCACAATATCCCCTGACTAGGACATAATAGGCACTTAGTACATATTTATTCAGTTTTAAAATATGAGCAAAGCTATAGGATGGAAATTTGTTAGATGTGT
This sequence comes from Homo sapiens, assembly GCF_000001405.40. NCBI lineage: Eukaryota > Metazoa > Chordata > Mammalia > Primates > Hominidae > Homo > Homo sapiens. The sequence continues at coordinate 93,569,771 of NC_000007.14, forward strand.
TATGGGAGAATGATTAATACATTTTAAGGATGAAGGAAGGTAAGATTTGAAATGTTGAATTCTGAACCACCGGACAAATAAAGGGCAGGGAGTGAGACTAGGGTTGCAGCGAGACATGAAAACCAAAGAAAAGCAGCTCTACAATGGAACCATTGATGTAAAGGGACACACACACACACACACACACACACACACACACTTCAATTTTGAGGCAGAAGAATATAGACTGAGGTTGACATGCAAGGGCACAGGGTTAAAAGTGAAGAATGGACTCCAAATCAGGAGTCAATTTTTCTGGTGTAACTACAGCTTCAGAACTAAAATTAAGGAGCTGTTGAGGTTTTCTACCTGACTTGGATAGGAAAGCTAAACTAGGATTATACCATGAAACATCTTAAATACCAGGCTGAAGAGGGGTTCTAAGTCTTGCAGTCCTTGGACCATTACTGAATAATTATGAACAGAGGGGGAGAAATTAAAGATTAGAAAACAAGTCTAACCATGTTCTATAACACTGAAGTTAGCACATAGAAACTTAATGTGACTGAATATTAGGAGAATAAATATTTTATTAATGATAATAAAAACTTAAACTAGAGGTGTGGCAGCGATACTTAGAGGAAGAAAAATGTAGCATCCATGGGAAAAACTGGAGGTAGTCTGAGACTTGATAAGAGAGAGGAAAGACATAAATTTTACTGAAATAGTTAAACATAAATTTTAGTGAAATGGAATAGTTAAATATTTCACTGAACCAGGTACTTTACTTCTTTGAGAAATAACTCCTTGAGTTTAGATTATCTGTGTTATTCTGGTACAAAGAATACCAATTTATATGCTATTTTTAAAAAATAAACAGGGACTTTAATTTTTAACAAAGACAGAATCTTATACCTCAGGTATCCACTGGTACCCTGGAGGTACCAGGCAGCTGTGCAGAGCTGCAGGCATAGACTAGGAAGTGCTGCCAGCTTCAATGAGGTATATGTTGCCTTGCCAACTTGTATTAGGGACATTTTTCTGTATCCTGTGATCCACTCTTTCTTCCCTGAAACATTTTTTTTCTTAAAAACAAAACCAAAACTACATTCTAATCAGACAAAACTGTTTTTGAAAAGCCAATTCAAGAAAATTACTGTTAGAAGTATTGAGGAACAGATACTGATAACATTTTTTCTACTGATTATTCTCCAATGTTCTATCTTCATGATTCACTTTTAATATAAAATTTTAAAGATCTCAAACCTCTCTATATTGCTGGTTTTCTAAATGTATAAGGGAAGCCAGAAACATATGTTAATATGATTTTCTGTGTTTTGATACTAGAATTGAAAACAAGTTAGTATCATTATGAAAACACAAAATCTTATCACTTGGTTTTATAACACTCATTATATGAAGCTCTGGAAGATCACATTCACATGGAAAAGCACACAGTTGTCAAGAAATGATGCTTTTAATTAAGTAAAAGATCTATACCTGATTGGGATGATTACTTATGTTCTTGTCATTCTCTACTAGACACGACATCCTTGAGGATAGGGATATGACTTATTTGTCTATGTATCTTCAGGCTTAGTGCAATGCTTGGCATATAACAATAAAAATTTTTTTGAATGAATGACATTTAAAAAAATATAACACATAGAACTTACCATGTACCAGACACCTACCCAAATGCTTTACAAATATTAACTCATTTAATTCTTATTCTACAAAGAAAATTAAGGCACCGAGAAGTTACATTATGTGCCCAAATCACACAGATAGAAAGTTATGGAATCAGAAGTCAAACTCAAGCAGAGCTGTGCCAGAATTTGTACTCTTAACTTATATTATCTCTAAATAAATGCTGCTGTTAAGTTGTAAAAAATACAAATATGTAAATAAATATATAATGTAATCCATCATTGAACTTAAAAAGACCTGGGTTCAAATATATTTTTAATTTACTTGGTTCGTGGCTTTGAGCGAGTTCATTAATCTAATGGGTCCTCAATTTCCTCATACATAAAATAATGATAATAGCTTGTAACTCACAAGGCTACTCTTAGCTTAAAACATATTTTTTGTAAAAGTACTAGATTATCATTGGCACCGGGTATATGGTAGTTAGTGTGCCAAGGGGAATGATGCTATTTTCCTCTTTCTCCTCTTTCAAAAGGGTACGTATTTGTACTTTACACAGTATACAGGTCTTAAGCAAAAGGAGATGAAATTGTATGTTTCATCAAGTATTATTTTCAACATCTCTTAAAGCTGGAGTTCATTTACTAAAACATTTTCTGGATGGGCAGATCAATTTCAAACTCAATAGCTTGTTTTCTGGATAAAAAATGTTTTTCCGAGAAGCTGTTACGGTCTAAATATCTAACATCAAATATTAAAATATTTTTCTTCTAATTGTAAGATCAAGTTATACATATATATGTATGTTTATACATATATGTTTCTTTTTTTTAAAGAAAAAACTATTTGACCAGCGATATAACAAACAACATTTATTTTTATCAAAAGCCTCCCACATCAATGAGTTCTACCAAGTCTGGTGGAAACCCTCTTGGTCAGTGGCTCTCAATCCTGGTTGCATATTACAATCACCTAAAGAAATACATCAAATTGCAGACCCTTTCCACAGATATTCTGATTTGATTGAATTGGGGTAAGGCTGAGCATCCGTATTTTTTGAAAGTTCTCCTATTAACCCTAATTTGCAGCCCGAGTTGAGAATACTGATTTAGATTATCATTGAAACCATTACCGGTCTCCTATTTCCATTTCACTAGGACTCTAATAAAAACCAACAGTAGATAATATTTCCATTCATGTTAACATTGACAGAGTCTGAGAGGTTCATCAAGAACAGAATTGCCATGGCACAACTAAACTAATAGTTAGCTCCCTTTCTTCAACTGATTAGAGCAAATGCTCTCCATCCACCATCAATCATTACCTCCAGTTTCAAAATGAGAAACAGAAGACGTATTTATATCAGCTATTTCTTTTTAACTTTGAGAATCATGAAACAAAACAACTCCAAGATTATCTATGTGTTCTTATAAACTGGTTATAATGAAGATTTCTTGTTTACTTATTGTGTTGATGTAGCCAATGAATAAACTTAGAACATTTTATAATATGACCAGATATTATTCTTGGGCTATAGTTCATAAAATAAACTACAGGTTAGAGGCATTGAACCAGAACAAATCCTGGCTGATGGATGTTTTGAGTTATGTTAAAATATTGAGTAGAAATGAGTATCCACTGAGAATACCAACTTAAACTGTAAAGGTTTTACAAATCTAATCATCTTAGTTTCTCTCATAATACTGGTGTATAACCAGCAATCTCAACTTTTTAAAGCTGAGTTATTTTACTACTGAACTCATAGGCTAGCAATATCCTATTAGAAATTACACTTTATAAATTCCATAATACTAAAAGCATTCCTACTTTGTCCTTAATGGTAAGTCAACTGGCCCAAATACATAAAATATTTGCTTTCTATGATCATTTAAGACAGACTTAAACTCGGACGCTCTGTAATTTAAAGATTAGCTTTAAGAACTACATTGTAAAACTTTGACTTATTTTGAACATTTCACCTTCAATCACCGAATAATTTCAACAAATAGCCTTACATAGATAACTTGATTCCGGTTAACCACAGCCTGGAAATAGTCAGGGTCTCCTTAAGATCGGCAAGTGAAACCCTGCGTTCTCTTCTTGCATATGTCACATAGTATTAGGTTAAAGCTTTCATATGAAACTTTTCTTAGGTAGATTTGCCAAATAAAGTCTGTATGATAGTTTACTAATCTCAATTGTATTGTTGATTTTTGACTTGGACCTCAAGGAAAATGAATGTTTTGAGAAAAGGAATTAATTTGTTACAGCTTTTCTTGATGTCTTTCACCCAGGCTTGGGAAGAGCATCATGAAAAAGAGTACTCTTTTGGAAACTATGCACACAACATATTTTTCCTAATAGGTGTGAAGAATGGCTGCTATGCATAAATGATTGTTGGAAAACTATTCTCTGTAAAACATGACTTAACAAGCAACTCCATTCACTACTGTGCTCATTTCCAATATCCAGAACAACCATGACACATCTTATAGATGCTGATATTATATGTTTGTCAGTTAATAAACACCCTTTGGGAAAATTCACAACTTTAACCTCCGTAATTTTCCTACCCAATAAGTTGGAGAATAAAACTTTTGAGGGAAAATTGATATGAACAACATAGTAAAAGTCACAAGAAATCAAACGATTCTTCAATACGAAACCATAAGTTGTTGGCTCTTCCCAGGACACCTATTTTTCTTTTTTCTTTGACAAGGGTAAAGTAAAGCATCTAAGACCTAGCTGACCCTACATGAGAACCACAAGCACCGCAATCAAACCACATTTCTATAATCAAAAAGCAAGGTGCCTATAGCACCTGCACTGTTAAACATCCCTTGGACACCCCAAATCGTTAAGTCCCGCTCATTTCCAAACGCTCCTTACCTGGAATTCTGTCACTGGGCGGCTGGGCACAGCTCAATAGAAGCAAAGGGTGTTCGCAGGTGTGGCTCCAGGGACTCAGGCGCTCAAGCTTCAGCGCCCATCTCCTGGGCAGGAGATGTCAGCCGCAGGGTGAGGTGCGGACGTGCGCACTTCTCCAACCCGGGAAGGTCCGCCAGCCGCGCGGCGCAGCCCACCCAGACGCTGGTGGGCTGGCTTTCCTAGTTTGATGCGAGAGCAAACTGCGTTAGTCTCAGTCCTCCCTCTCCGCCCCTCTCCTGGTTTTCTGACACTTTAAATCTGTCTTAGGTGGTTCAGACCCAAGTCTAGGTTGTATTATCAGCTAAAAGACAACTGTTCTTTCCCCTGGCTTGCTTTCTACCTCCCCAGAGTCCAGGAGGCTCACCTTCCCGGCGCCTTCCTGCGCTCTCCCAGCTGTGAAGCTGTGCGCAAACTTCTCCTGACTTAAGAGTCTCAATCCTAGCCTGCGCTCCCGCCCCACCCCCGCCCGCCTCCCGACAGGCGGCAGAGGAGGTGGCAGCAGAATTGATGAGAGCCAGCCCCCCTTCCCGGACCCCGCCACCCCAGTCAGCCCCCTCCTGTCCCAGGAGAGGGAGGGGCGAGCTGGTGAGCTCCGTGCGCCTCGCGCCAGCCCCAGTCGCCCCGGCCCGCGAGTGGGGCTGCGCTCGCGGCTGCTGTCTCGCTCCAGTCAGGGCTGGGGCTCACCCTGCGAGTCCGGGAGACTAAAGCGCCGCGTAAACACAGGAAGCAGGCGAGGGACCCGAGTTAGACCTTGAGTAGGGAGGGAGAGGGGGGCGACAGTCTGGACTGGGAGACAGCTTTCTGGGAGCCCTGTCCCCTCCCCGGAGAATGCAAATTCCGGAGGGAGGTGAGTTTCCACAAGAACCTTATCCCAGAGACATTGTGACCCTGGCTTCTTCAGCCGCCACTCCGGGGACAGCACTAGGGAGCCTGTGGAGGGAGGGTCGGTAGTGGGCTAGGTAGTGAAAGTGGGGTGAGGACGTGGGAAGACGGCTGGCTAAGAGCTGGGGTGCTAAAAGGAAAAAAGTGCTGAGAGGAAGGAGATGAGAAGAGACACCTTGGGGGTCAGGCAAGCCCTGGGAAAGCGTCCGGAGTTGGGCGGCTGTAGGCTGGAGGCATAACTTGGATTTGGAGAAAGAGTGCCCTCCGTGTAGGGGACTGCTGGTGGGCACAGTGTTTTAGGGTGAATGAAAACAGAGAGGATGGCGAGGGAAGACGGGGATATGGGGTGCCTGACTTGGTGCCGGACACTGCGACTCCTCTTCTTTCCCCCTAAAGCCCTCGATGTCAGCAGGAGTCCGGGACAATCCAATACCAGGCGGGGCGCAGCGGAGGCTGGCAGGCACGCCCTGGGAGGCAGGCAAGTTGATTCCAAGGACGAGTCACCCTCAACCTCTTTTAGCCCACAACTGGGTGGATCAAGGCAGGAGCCAACACTTTTTTCCCTAACTCTGTTTAGGCGGTGTTGGACTAAGAAAACAGCATCCGGTGCGTCCCGGGACCACAAGGTGGCCGTGCACCGTCGAGGTTACTAAACACTGTCTCCTTGGCAAAAGAAATAATAGCAATCATTTAATGGGAGGGGAAGAAAGCCAGACGGCGACAGCACACTTTCCCTGGTGATCTTAGGTTCTCATAAGCACACGGGACAACACCGGGTGACAGAGAAGGAGGTGTCCTGTGAATGGAACTGCAGCCCTCACCCAACCATCCTTGGAGCTCTTCCATGGAAACATCAGTGACTGTAGGCAAAAAATGTCCCCGTTTTATTTTGCATGCTCCTGTTTTATTTTGAATCCTCATACCCCACCCCAGAGAGACAACAGGGACCCCTAATTTGTGTGGTTGAGGCTTTCAGGAGATCCAGTGGAGGACAGACTCAAGGATCAGATCAGCTCTCCCACCCAACATTCCAGGGATTTTGTTTTTCCAGGCTCCCTCCTCTATATACTCCCCCCTTCCCTGTCACCTCCAGTCTGGTGACCCAGAGGGCTGTGTGTGACTCACTGTGCATTCAAACCCTAAGGCACTGCCTCACTGCAGAGGAAGATTGTACAGTCCCTTCATTCCCAGGATAAGTGAGAATGATGTTGTTAGCAGTAAGAAATGTGACTAGGAAAGGAGGCTGGGCAACTGGGAGACAAGGAGGCTTTGAAAGGAACATACACACACACACACACACACACACACACACACACACACACACACACACACACACACACACAGACACAGTAACTTAAACAAAGCCTGTATAAGAAACCCTTCCGAATTCAGAACTTAGATAGGAATCTTCACTCCGTGCTGGGTTGGGCTCAATCTGTCTTGAGTTCAATAGCTCCCTGCTTTCCAACTGCTCCTGACCAGCCAACACTTGACCATGACCTCCTTTAAGAATTCTCTTTTGGAATATTAATTACCTTCTTTTGGTGCAAACAGCAGAGAAATATTAAAGTTGTTTGAGAGTCTCCTATGGTCAACTGCTGGGGCCAAACATTGAGAATTTCTCAGGTTGTAGCCCAAGTCACTGAAATAACAATGATTCAGGGAGACTATTGCTGAGTAGAAAGTGTTGCCGCCCTCGGCATTGTGTGATAGAACAAGTACAAGGAGATTTTTCCGCTGGAGGTTAAATCCTAGGGCAGCCTACCTGATATTGATAACCAGTATTCTGAGAGCAGGATGGGCTTGATTCTATAAATCTAATGAATATATGTGGGATGCAGCCCTTAACCATAATGTAAACAAAGTCTAAAAGTTATTGAGAAAAATGGCATGGGTGTATCATAAAACTTTAAACTGTTTGTGGTCTAAGCATAAGCAACCTCAGCTGATTAAAGTGTGAACTGTGTTAGATACAATATTGGGGGAAACAATGAGAGTTCTCTGTAGGCAGAATATTTCAGGGAAGGTGACACAGCAGAAGCAAGATCAGGGATGAAGCTCTCTTGTCCCCTAAGAAGATTAAATTGACTTTGTCAGTAACAGATATTTATTGAACACCAAAGGGGTTATGTACCTGTTGGAAACACTTGGATTTTACAGAAATTTAAGTCTACTGCTTTCTTAATATTATCACAGTATTTCCTACATGGACACAGTGTGGTAAGTTTTTGGAGGGTGGATGTTAACATGGGGATGGTCTGATAAGGGGAATTGGCATTGTTTTGAAAATGTTATGAGACCCATTACTGGATCTTGAAATCAAGTTAGTGGGCATAAGTAACATTTAAAAAATGAAGTGGAATAGGATAGAAAATATCAGAGTTCATCGCCATTTGAAAGCACAAGAGTGGTTTCTTGAAACTTGTCTTATTTCTCTCTCTCTCTCTATCTCTGTGTATGAAATTGCAAAGTAAAATGTATTTCTTTCTGTAGATCACAAAAATACCTAAAGACACTGGGTTAGAATAAGCTATTCTTCAAGTGGAATACCTTATATTTGCAAATAAGCTTTCAAATGAAATTAGTTCATCAAAGGGGCATTCATAAAATAAGCATCTTAAAATGTGGTAGTCACACATTCCTGGTACTTTTATTGATTATTTATTTTAAAATCCCCTGTCTTTATGATACTTTGCCCCTTTCTCTCTGTCCCTCTTCCTCTTTAGAAAATTTCCCCTTTGGACAGTTACTAATTTAGGGAGAAGTATTCTGTGGATCTTGTCTACAGACTTTTCAATGCAAACTCCACTTCAATTATGAAACCCTCCATCTACATTGCTGAGGGTGTGAAGTTCTGCCACTAGCAAAGGATTATCTGACCTCTCAACTCTGTCTTTCCAAGCAAGGTTTGCCAGAGTTTGAACCATACATACCACTTTCTGGACACTTATGGTTCGAGAATTCAGTGACTTTTCCTTAAAAATCACTAAAGTTTTGAATTTCAGTGAATGGAGGGAAGATTGCCCATTATTAAAGACTAGCTCTATTAATACCTATTCCTGTTAAATATGGTTAATGTGAGGGAGGTCACACTTTGTAGAGACTGAAAAAAGTCATTTAGTTCTTCTTGGAAAAAAATTGTTGTAAGGTTAAATAGAGTTTATTCTTTTTTTAACAGGAATTTAGAGAAAAAATTTCTGGACTCTCTCAGGAATCCAATGGTTAACTTGAATAGCTCCCTATCAGCAAAGTTTTCCTTACATTGAAATCCAGCTCAATCCGTTATGCTTATGTGTTGGTAATTTAGTACATATTTAACACCACATAATTTCACAACACCCTTGGCTAGCCGCTTATGGGGGACCCAAAAAGCACAATATGCAGCTCCTACCCTCAAGAAGCCCACAGTCTATTCAAGAACATTTGTTTCTTCCTCTTGTAGTCTCCTTCCAAATAGACAACAGCTGGTAATTATTCTTTATATAATTACTCTTCCTAGATTTACAGGCCTCACCATGACAGGGCAAATAATAATTTGCCTTAGTGAAAAATAAATGTTTTCCTTTGAAAACAATTCGAACTTTGACCTGATAAATCATGCTCTCTTGAAGGAAGTGTCCTGCTTCGATTTTCCACCTGTCTTTCAGAAACAGGAGCTGGGGTACTTGTAAGTCTCTCTTCTCTCCTCATCTTTCCAAGGGTGTGACACGGCTGTGTTTCTCTAGAGAACGTGTCTTTTGGCATGGAAAAAACAAATTCCACTTGAACTAGGAAGTGTCTTTCCAGATTGTACTTACATAAACTTCACTTTGGTTAACTGTTAACTTAATGTGTAAATAACTCAGAGTAGGAGGAGATGGCAGGGACTTACACCATAAAGCAGCAGTGGAAACTAATTGCTCCATCTCTGATGAAGTTCAGAAATATCCATTTCTTATATTTTAAATAAAATTCTAAAGGGAAACCCAGGAGCCAGAAAAAATACTGCAGAAGCAAATGTACGCAGACATTCATTCATTAATTCATTCAACAAATAATGAAAAATTGCGGCCTCAAAGCTTATATTCTAGTGGGAAGAGGGAGATAGGTAACAAACAAAATAAGAAGTAAATTGTTAATTTCAGATACTGACAATGTTAAAATATCATTAACAGGGAACTGAGAGGCAGGCATGGGGTAATGCTATTCTAGGATAGCCAGGAAAAGCTCTATTTGAGCTGAGATGTAAATGAGAAGCCAGTCATCATGAGTTCCATAGTAAAATTCTCATAAAGTGCTGGTTCACCTCCCTTTAAATAAAAATAAATAACATTTGGGTCAGGAATCTACTCTTTTGGGATTGTGATATTGTGTGTGTGTGTATGCACACGTGTGTCTTTGTAAAACGCTCTTTGTAATTTATTCCTATTTAGTCAGTGCTCAGGAATCTAGGAGATGAGAGGCATGAGATAGGTAATGATAATTTTTCTGTACTTCTGTGTTGGTCTACATAAAGTTGAATTAGGAAAGAACCCTCACATGGCACTAACTTTATAGCTTAGATTGTCTCAGGATATGTTTGCAACATGCTAAAATGCAAAGAAATATGGAACTTACCCCAGACCTAAAGCAAAACTTGTCTTTAATGGCTACAAGTCTTACTTTTCTGTTTTCTGATTACAAATCAACAGTTCTATTAATTTTGCCTTACTGAACATCTACTATGTGCTGAGCATTTTATTAAGCATCTTAATGCATTTTCTTATTTTAACTCTATGAGGTAGGCACAATTATTATTTTGCATTGTACAGATGCAAAGACAGCACAGTAAATGATTTGACAAAGGATTCAAGATTCTAACACAGGCAGTCTAACATATATATTAATACATATTCAGCTAATCCTTGTTCAGTTACTAACAGATGTAAGTCTACTTATAGGTAAAAAATAGCCAGGCATAAGATTATTTTACTAGGCAATTCTATACGTATTCACATATTTTTAAATGACAACCAAACACAAATCTTTCAAACAAATAATTTCCAATTCAGTCACAAACTGAACACCTAGCCATCTGAATAGCAGAGAGTTTTGTCTTTTCACCTGAGTATAGGCTAATGGAGAAGGCAAGCCATTTAGACAATTAATAAATAAAATTCAAACATCTGCAGCAGAAGTATTTCCCAGTGCCCTGGGAGCTCAAAACGGAGGGGATTAATTCTGCCGGGAAGATATTTGCTTTTACTAGTTATCGTCTCTCTGAAATCTAATACACCAGCACTAACAGATTCTGGTGTGAGTGAGTGTTAGGAACACAGAGCTACACATGCTCCAGAAATGGACTTTTCCTTTTTTACTATAAGAGGTGACATTTAAAATTACATAGTAAATATATGTGAATGAAATTGTGTAACAGTGGAATATGTTGAACACCCAACTTTTCTTTGGATATTGCACTTAAACGTTTATCACAGATTCTTTCCACTCCATAGTTCAAACAGAAATGTTATTTGGGTGACAATTTGCATGGCTGGGGCATTTATTGCATAGAAAAGAAAATGAAATCAGTACAAAACACTGAGAAAAGATACTTTTAAGGCAAAAGAAAAACAGGAAGTTTAACAACCCAATTGCTAAATTGGAGGCCGAAAACATATGAAAATGTTGCAGAATTTGGGATCTGCTGTCCCATCAACACCAGTCCTGGCTGGCAGGAGAAGAAGGAAAGAGAGAACACAGCGATTAAGTTTAAGCCCTTAAAGGCTATGAAATCAGATGAGCTGCTCTACTTTTTGTAGGCTTCTCTAATTTTCAAAAATCCTATGATTCTAAATGACTGAAGAATAGGCCCATGATAGGCATTTATAAATACTTCAGAAATTAAGTTTAATTGCATATATTACTCAGAAAGGAAGACGATGAGGGTGCACAAATGTTTCAAAGATAGAAACTGAAAAGAGAAAAGGAATCTTTCACCATAAAGAGAAAGAAATGACCAGGAACGAGGGAAGGGTTGGAGAGCAGAAAGGAAGTGGAAGAGATGCTGTATTTTATCCCTGGGGTGATTCTTAAACTCCCCTGGTCACTGAGGTTGTCATTCTTAAAAGTTGATTACAAAGCACTAAATTGATTACAGATTACTATATATATTGTGGGGAAGGAAGTGAAAATCATATCTTCAGAAGCTCACTAACTGCCTCTATCACTTTAGCTTCAGCTTTTACCAGCTTTCTCTTCTCTACTTCAAAGGGGGGCAGCATTTTCCCATGTCCTCTGTATTCCTGCTCTATTTAAAGAATGTTTTCTCTCTGTTATTGTTTCTTTCAAATATCTCTTCATATTTTACGTTGTCATTTAACCCTTTCTGATATTCTTTTCCCATATACTCAAAATCTGTCCTCATACTTGATGCAGCCTGCCTTCACCCTTCTAAAAAATACCTGTTTTCTTTTTTATTACTCAGTGATGAGCCACCTAGATTCTCAGCTTTTTGAAAGCAGCTCTATAGTAAAATATTATTTAAAAGGAAATATTTTTATCTTTATCATGAGTCTGAGTTGAAATCTTCATAAAAATGGCCAAACCAAAATCACCCACTGTGATATGCAGAATGATAGATTTGGTTAAGGGATTTAGGGTGATGTTTTAATGTGCTGCAGATGACCTAGGGATCTTGCTAAAATGCAGATTCTGATTTTCATGTCAAGAGTGGGGCCTGAGATTCCGCATTTCTAATGAGCTGTCATGCTGGTGAAATGTTCATGGGTCGTCTTTTAAGTAACAAGGCTTTAGAATCATTCCCTGCAAATATGCATATCATCTTTTAAACTTTATTCTTTTAAAATTTGGAAATATACTTTAGTCTATAAAATACGTTACTGCATGACTATGGAAAGTAGGACTAATTCTGGTTTTCTTTCTCTCAGAAATATCTTCTCAACTATCTGTACTGGGAATATGGTGGACATGTACTGGGACATTCCATGTACTGGGAGAGAGGTGGACATGCCCCTTGCGATGTATGAAGTTGGGAAATAAATTAATTTGTGGGGGATTTTATGGGTGTGCTTTATTTTTCCTGGAAGGAGATTTGATTTTAAAAGAACTAATATCCCTGAGAGACAGAAGGGAGTATTGGTGGTGGAGATGGTTGGCATTAGTGGTGAGATTGGTGGTACTGGTGCACAGGTGGTAATGTTGATGGTGGTGGTGGTAGTAATGGAAAAAGTGGTGTGGTGGTGATGGTGGTTGTGGTGTTAGTTATGGTGATGGTGGTGGTGCAATGGTGGCAGTGGAGATGGTTGTGGTGCTGGCAGCAATGGCAGTACTGGTAGTGGAAGTAGTGATGATTTGATGGTGATTGTTCCTAGTAAGATAGTGATGGTGGTGGTCGTGCAGTTGTTCTGGTATTGCTGTTGGTGGGATGATGACAGTGGTGGTAGCAGACATAATGGTAGCAGTGGTGGTGATAGTGATAGTGATGAAGCTGCAGGTGGTAGTATTGATGTTTGTGGTGATTTGATGGTGCTGGTGGTAGTCATGCTGATAGTCATGGTAGGGGTAATAGTGTTGGAGACTGTGGTTGTACTAATCATAAAGTAATGGTGGTAGTGCTAATGGTTGTGATGGTGGCAGTGATTCTTGAGATGTGGGTAGAGGTGGTAGTTGTGGCATTAGTGGTAGTGATAGTGGTATTATCAATTTACACTAAATAATAGAGCAGATGGGTTTTCAATCCTGCTGTGAGTCATCTCCCATTTTTCTATACTTTGGCAAATTGTTTGTCTCTGAGCCTCAGTTTTCTCATCTAAAAAAATACTGCTAAAAATTCTGAGGTGGGGCCTGGTGTGGTGGCTCACGCCTGTAATCCCAGCACTTTGTGTGGCCAAGGCAAGTGGATGACCTGAGGTTAGGAGTTCGAGACAAGCCTAGCCAACATGGCGAAACTCTTTCTCTACTAAAAATACAAAAAGTAACTGGGCGTGGTGGCGCATACCTGTAATCCCAGCTACTCAGGAGGCTGAAGCAGGAGGATCGCTTGAGCCCACGAAGGCGAAGTTGTAGTGAGCTGAGATCGTGTCATGGCACTCCAGCCTGGGCAACAGAGTGGGACTCTGTCTCCAAGGGGAGGAAAATTATCAGTTGTGAGTATCACCTGAGCCCAGGAAGTCAAGGCTGCAATGAGCCATGTCCATACCACTGCACTCAAGCCTGGGTGACAGAATGAGACCTAGTCTAAACACACACACACACACACACACACACACACACACACACACACACAACTTAACTATGAGTATGCTATGGGGATTAAACTGCACTCAAGCCTGGGTGACAGAATGAGACCCAGTCTAAACACACACACACACACACACACACACACACACACAACTTAACTATGAGTATGCTATGGGGATTAAATGAAATAAAGTATGTGAAGCTCTTAGCAAAGTTAAAAAAAGTCCTATCAATAAATGATGATTATTTATTGGTGAAATTGCCTGACTCCATATTCACTTTTTTTTTGGAGACAGCGTCTCACTGTGTCACCCAGGCTGGAGTGCAGTGGTGCCATTTCAGCTCACTGCAACCTCAGCCTCCTGGGCTCAAGAGATCCTTCCACCTCAGCCTCTGGAGTAGCTGGGATTACAGGAGCATGCCACTATGCCTGGATAATTTTTGTATTTTTTTTAGTAGAGACGGGGTTTCACCATTTTTCCTAGACTGATCTTGAACAAGTAAGCTCAAGGGATCCACCTGCCTTGGCCTCCCCAATTGCTAGAATTACAGGCATGAGCCACTGCTCCTGGCCTATCATTTTTTTTTTTTTTTTTGCATCACAAGTAAGATTTTATTTATTATTATTATTATTATTATTATTACTTTTTATTAAAGTTTTAGGGTACATGTGCACATTGTGCAGGTTAGTTACATATGTATACATGTGCCATGCTGATGCGCTGCACCCACCAACTCGTCATCTAGCATTAGGTATATCTCCCAATGCTATCCCTCCCCGCTCCCCCCACCCCACAACAGTCCCCAGAGTGTGATATTCCCCTTCCTGTGTCCATGTGATTTCATTGTTCAATTCCCACCTATGAGTGAGAATATGTGGTGTTTGGTTTTTTGTTCTTGCAATAGTTTACTGAGAATGATGACTTCCAATTTCATCCATGTCCCTACAAAGGACATGAACTCATCCTTTTTTATGGCTGCATAGCATTCCATGGTGTATATGTGCCACATTTTCTTAATCCAGTCTATCATTGTTGGACATCTGGGTTGGTTCCAAGTCTTTGCTATTGTGAATAATGCTGCAATAAACATACGTGTGCATGTGTCTTTATAGCAGCATGATTTATAGTCCTTTGGGTATATACCCAGTAATGGGATGGCTGGGTCAAATGGTACTTCCAGTTCTAGATCCCTGAGGAATCGCCACACTGACTTCCACAATGGTTGAACTAGTTTACAGTCCCACCAACAGTGTAAAAGTGTTCCTATTTCTCCACATCTTCTCCAGCACCTGCTGTTTCCTGACTTTTTAATGATTGCCATTCTAACTGGTGTGAGATGGTATCTCATTGTGGTTTTGATTTGCATTTCTCTGATGGCCAGTGATGATGAGCATTTTTTCATGTGTTTTTTGGCTGCATAAATGTCTTCTTTTGAGAAGGGTCTGTTCATGTCCTTCGCCCACTTTTTGATGGGGTTGTTTGTTTTTTTCTTGTAAATTTGTTTGAGTTCATTGTAGATTCTGGATATTAGCCCTTTGTCAGATGAGTAGATTGCAAAAATTTTCTCCCATTCTGTAGGTTGCCTGTTCACTCTGATGGCAGTTTCTTTTGCTGTGCAGAAGCTCTTTAGTTTAATTAGATCCCATTTGTCAATTTTGTCTTTTGTTGCCATTGCTTTTGGTGTTTTAGACATGAAGTCCTTGCCCATGCCTATGTCCTGAATGGTAATGCCTAGGTTTTCTTCTAGGGTTTTTATGGTTTTAGGTCTAACATTTAAGTCTTTAATCCATCTTGAGTTGATTTTTTTTTTTTTTTTTTTTTTTATTGATCATTCTTGGGTGTTTCTCAAAGAGGGGGATTTGGCAGGGTCATAGGACAATAGTGGCGGGAAGGTCAGCAGATAAACAAGTGAACAAAGGTCTCTGGTTTTCCTAGGCAGAGGACCCTGCGGCCTTCCGCAGTGTTTGTGTCCCTGGGTCCTTGAGATTAGGGAGTGGTGATGACTCTTAACGAGCATGCTACCTTCAAGCATCTGTTTAACAAAGCACATCTTGCACCGCCCTTAATCCATTTAACCCTGAGTGGACACAGCACATGTTTCAGAGAGCACAGGGTTGGGGGTAAGGTCACAGATCAACAGGATAAGAATTTTTCTTAGTACAGAACAAAATGAAAAGTCTCCCATGTCTACCTCTTTCTACACAGACACGGCAACCATCCGATTTCTCAATCTTTTCCCCACCTTTCCCCCCTTTCTATTCCACAAAACCGCCATTGTCATCATGGCCTGTTCTCAATGAGCTGTTGGGTACACCTCCCAGACGGGGTGGTGGCCGGGCAGAGGGGCTCCTCACTTCCCATTAGGGGCAGCCGGGCAGAGGTGCCCCTCACCTCCCGGGCGGGGGGCTGACCCCCCCACCTCCTTCCCGGACGGGGCGGCTGGCTGGGCAGAGGGGCTCCTCACTTCCCAGTAGGGGCGGCTGGGCATAGGCACCCCTCACCTCCCGGATGGGGCGGCTGGCTGGGCGGTGGGCTGACCCCCCCACCTCCCTCCCGGATGGGGCGGCTGGCCGGGCAGAGGGGCTCCTCACTTCCCAGTAGGGGCGGCCGGGCAGAGGCACCCCTCACCTCCCGGATGGGGCGGCTGGCCGGGCGGGGGGCTGACCCCCCCACCTCCCTCCCGGACGGGGTGGCTGGCCGGGCGGGGGGCTGACCCCCCCACCTCCCTCCCGGATGGGGTGGCTGGCCTGGCGGGGGCTGACCCCCACCTCCCTCCCGGACGGGGTGACTGCCGGGCGGAGATGCTCCTCACTTCCCAGACGGGGCGGCTGCCAGGCGGAGGGGCTCCTCACTTCTCAGACGGGGCGGCTGCCGGGCGGAGGGGCTCCTCACTTCTCAGACGGGGCGGCTGCCGGGCGGAGGGGCTCCTCGCTTCTCAGACGGGGCGGCCGGGCAGAGATGCTCCTCACCTCCCAGACAGGGTCGCGGCCGGGTAGAGGCGCTCCTCACATCCCAGACGGGGTGGCGGGGCAGAGGCGCTCCCCACATCTCAGACGATGGGCGGCCAGGCAGAGACGCTCCTCACTTCCTAGATGGGATGGCGGCCGGGAAGAGGCGCTCCTCACTTCCTAGATGGGATGGCAGCCGGGCAGAGACGCTCCTCTCTTTCCAGACTGGGCAGCCAGGCAGAGGGGCTCCTCACGTCCCAGACGATGGGCGGCCAGGCAGAGACGCTCCTCACTTCCCAAACGGAGTGGCGGCCGGGCAGAGGCTGCAATCTCTGCACTTTGGGAGGCCAAGGCAGGCGGCTGGGAGGTGGAGGTTGTAGCGAGCCGAGATCACGCCACTGCATTCCAGCCTGGGCACCATTGAGCACTGAGTGAACCAGACTCCATCTGCAATCCCGGCACCTCGGGAGGCCGAGGCTGGTGGATCACTCGTGGTTAGGAGCTGGAGACCAGCCTGGCCAACACCTGAATTGATTTTTGTATAAGGTGTAAGGAAGGGATCCAGTTTCAGCTTTCTACATATGGCTGGCCAGTTTTCCCAGCACCATTTATTAAACAGGGAATCCTTTCCCCATTGCTTGTTTTTCTCAGGTTTGTCAAAGATCAGATAGTTGTAGATATGCGGCGTTATTTCTGAGGGCTCTGTTCTGTTCCATTGATCTATATCTCTGTTTTGGTACCAGTACCATGCTGTTTTGGTTACTGTAGCCTTGTAGTATAGTTTGCAGTCAGGTAGTGTGATGCCTCCAGCTTTGTTCTTTTGGCTTAGGATTGACTTGGCGATGCGGGCTCATTTTTGGTTCCATGTGAACTTTAAAGTAGTTTTTTCCAATTCTGTGAAGAAAGGCATTGGTAGCTTGATGGGGATGGCATTGAATCTGTAAATTACCTTGGGCAGTATGGCCATTTTCACAATATTGATTCTTCCTACCCATGAGCATGGAATGTTCTTCCATTTGTTTGTATCCTCTTTTATTTCCTTGAGCAGTGGTTTGTAGTTCTCCTTGAAGAGCTCCTTCACATGCCTTGTAACTTGGATTCCTAGGTATTTTATTCTCTTTGAAGCAATTGTGAATGGGAATTCACTCATGATTTGGCTCTCTGTTTGTCTGTTGTTGGTGTATAAGAATGCTTGTGATTTTTGTACATTGATTTTGTATCCTGAGATTTTGCTGAAGTTGCTCATCAGCTTAAGAAGATTTTGGGCTGAGACAATGGGGTTTTCTAGATATACAATCATGTCGTCTGCAAACAGGGACAATTTGACTTCCTCTTTTCCTAATTGAATACCCTTTATTTCCTTCTCCTGCCTAATTGCCCTGGCCAGAACTTCCAACACTATGTTGAATAGGAGTGGTGAGAGAGGGCATCCCTGTCTTGTGCCAGTTTTCAAAGGGAATGCTTCCAGTTTTTGCCCATTCAGTATGATATTGGCTGTGGGTTTGTCATCGATAGCTCTTATTATTTTGAGATACGTCCCATCAATACCTAATTTATTGAGAGTTTTTAGCATGAAGGGTTGTTGAATTTTGTCAAAGGCCTTTTCTGCATCTATTGAGGGAATCGTGTGGTTTTTGTCTTTGGCTCTGTTTATATGCTGGATTACATTTATTGATTTGCGTATATTGAACCAGCCTTGCATCCCAGGGATGAAGCCCACTTGATCATGGTGGATAAGCTTTTTGATGTGCTGCTGGATTCGTTTTGCCAGTATTTTATTGAGGATTTTTGCATCAATGTTCATCAAGGATATTGGTCTAAAATTCTCTTTTTTTGTTGTGTCTTTGCCTGGCTTTGGTATCAGAATGATGCTGGCCTCATAAAAAGAGTTAGGGAGGATTCCCTCTTTTTCTATTGATTGGAATAGTTTCAGAAGGAATGGTACCAGTTCCTCCTTGTACCTCTGGTAGAGTTCGGCTGTGAATCCATCTGGTCCTAGACTCTTTTTGGTTGGTAAGCTATTGATTATTGCCACAGTTTCAGAGCCTGTTATTGGTCTATTCAGAGATTCAACTTCTTCCTGGTTTAGTCTTGGGAGAGTGTATGTGTCGAGGAATTTATCCATTTCTTCTAGATTTTCTAGTTTATTTGCGTAGAGGTGTTTGTAGTATTCTCTGATGGTAGTTTGTATTTCTGTGGGATCGGTGGTGATATCCCCTTTATCATTTTTTATTGCATCTATTTGATGCTTCTCTCTTTTTTTCTTTATTAGTCTTGCTAGCGGTCTATCAATTTTGTTGATCCTTTCAAAAAACCAGCTCCTGGATTCATTAATTTTTTGAAGGGTTTTTTGTGTCTCTATTTCCTTCAGTTCTCCTCTGATTTTAGTTAGTTCTTGCCTTCTGCTAGCTTTTGAATATGTTTGCTCTTGCTTTTCTAGTTGTTTTAATTGTGATGTTAGGGCATCAATTTTGGATCTTTCCTGCTTTCTCTTGTGGGCATTTAGTGCTATAAATTTCCCTCTACACACTGCTTTGAATGCGTACCAGAGATTCTGGTATGTCGTGTCTTTGTTCTCATTGGTTTCAAAGAACATCTTTATTTCTCCCTGCATTTCGTTATGTACCCAGTAGTCATTCAGGAGCAGGTTGTTCAGTTTCCATGTAGTTGAGCGGTTTTGAGTGAGATTCTTAATCCTGAGTTCTAGTTTGATTGCACTGTGGTCTGAGAGATAGTTTGTTATAATTTCTGTTTTTTACATTTGCTGAGGAGAGCTTTACTTCCAAGTATGTGGTCAATTTTGGAATAGGTGTGGTGTGGTGCTGAAAAAAATGTATATTCTGTTGATTTGGGGTGGAGAGTTCTGTAGATGTCTATTAGGTCTGCTTGGTGCAGAGCTGAGTTCAATTCCTGGGTATCCTTGTTGACTTTCTGTCTCATTGATCTGTCTAATGTTGACCGTGGGGTGTTAAAGTCTCCCATTATTAATGTGTGGGAGTCTAAGTCTCTTTGTAGGTCACTCAGGACTTGCTTTATGAATCTTGGTGCTCCTGTATTGGGTGCATATATATTTAGGATAGTTAGCTCTTCTTGTTGAATTGATCCCTTTACCATTATGTAATGGCCTTCTTTGTCTCTTTTGATCTTTGTTGGTTTAAAGTCTGTTTTATCAGAGACTAGGATTGCAACCCCTGCCTTTTTTTGCTTTCCATTTGCTTGGTAGATCTTCCTCCATCCTTTTATTTTGAGCCTATGTGTGTCTCTGCCCGTGAGATGGGTTTCCCGAATACAGCACACTGATGGGTCTTGACTCTTTATCCAATTTGCCAGTCTGTGTCTTTTAATTGGAGCATTTAGTCCATTTACATTTAAAGTTAATATTGTTATATGTGAATTCGATCCTGTCATTATGATGTTGGCTGGTTATTTTGCTCGTTAGTTGATGCAGTTTCTTCCTAGTCTGGATGGTCTTTACATTTTGGCATGATTTTGCAGGGGCTGGTACCGGTTGTTCCTTTCCATGTTTAGCACTTCCTTCAGGAGCTCTTTTAGGGCAGGCCTGGTGGTGTCAAAATCTCTCAGCATTTGCTTATCTGTAAAGTATTTTATTTCTCCTTCGCTTATGAAGCTTAATTTGGCTGGATATGAAATTCTGGGTTGAAAATTCTTTTCTTTAAGAATGTTGAATATTGGCCCCCACTCTCTTCTGGCTTGTAGGGTTTCTGCCGAGAGATCCGTTGTTAGTCTGATGGGCTTCTCTTTGAGGGTAAGCCGACCTTTCTCTCTGGCTGCCCTTAACATTTTTTCCTTCATTTCAACTTTGGTGAATCTGACAATTATGTGTCTTGGTGTTGCTCTTCTCGAGGAGTATCTTTGTGGCGTTCTCTGTATTTCCTGAATCTGAACGTTGGCCAGCCTTGCTAGATTGGGGAAGTTCTCCTGGATAATATCCTGCAGAGTGTTTTCCAACTTGGTTCCATTCTCCCCATCGCTTTCAGGTACCCCAATCAGACGTAGATTTGGTCTTTTCACATAGTCCCATATTTCTTGGAGGCTTTGCTCATTTCTTTTTATTCTTTTTTCTCTAAACTTCCCTTCTCCCTTCATTTCATTCATTTCATCTTCCATCGGTGATACCCTTTCTTCCAGTTGATCGCATCGGCTCCTGAGGCTTCTGCATTCTTCACGTAGTTCTCGAGCCTTGGTTTTCAGCTCCATCAGCTCCTTTAAGCACTTCTCTGTATTGGTTATTCTAGTTATACATTCTTCTAAATTTTTTTCAAAGTTTTCAACTTCTTTGACTTTTGTTTGAATGTCCTCCCATAGCTCAGAGTAATTTGATCGTCTGAAGCCTTCTTCTCTCAGCTCGTCAAAGTCATGCTCCATCCAGCTTTGTTCCGTTGCTGGTGAGGAACTGCGTTCCTTTGGAGGAGGAGAGGCGCTCTGCTTTTTAGAGTTTCCAGTTTTTCTGTTCTGTTTTTTCCCCATCTTTGTGGTTTTATCTACTTTTGGTCTTTGATGATGGTGATGTAGAGATGGGTTTTTGGTGTGGATGTCCTTTCTGTTTGTTAGTTTTCCTTCTAACAGACAGGACCCTCAGCTGCAGGTCTGTTGGAATACCCTGCCGTGTGAGGTGTCAGTGTGCCCCTGCTGGGGGGTGCCTCCCAGTTAGGCTGCTTGGGGATCAGGGGTCTGGGACCCACTTGAGGAGGCAGTCTGCCTGTTCTCAGATGTCCAGCTGCCTGCTGGGAGAAACACTGCTCTCTTCAAAGCTGTCAGACAGGGACATTTAAGTCTGCAGAGGTTACTGCCGTCTTTTTGTTTGTCTGTGCCCTGCCCCCAGAGGTGGAGCCTACAGAGGCAGGCAGGCCTCCTTGAGCTGTGGTGGGCTCCACCCAGTTGGAGCTTCCCGGCTGCTTTGTTTACCTAAGCAAGCCTGGGCAATGGCGGGCGCCCCTCCCCCAGCCTTGCTGCCGCCTTGCAGTTTGATCTCAGACTGCTGTGCTAGCAATCAGCCAGACTCCGTGGGCGTAGGACCCTCCGAGCCAGGTGTGGGATATAATCTCGTGGTGCGCCGTTTTTCAAGCCTGTCGGAAAAGCGCAGTATGCGGGTGGGAGTGACCCGATTTTCCAGGTGCCGTCCGTCACCCCTTTCTTTGACTCAGAAAGGGAACTCCCTGACCCCTTGCGCTTCCCGAGTGAGGCAATGCCTCACCCTGCTTCGGCTCGCGCACGGTGCGCGCACCCACTGACCTGCGCCCACTGTCTGGCACTCCCTAGTGAGATGAACCCGGTACCTCAGATGGAAATGCAGAAATCACCGTCTTCTGCGTCGCTCGCGCTGGGAGCTGTAGACCGGAGCTGTTCCTATTCGGCCATCTTGGCTCCTCCACAAGTAAGATTTTAAAAATCATTTAAAAAGTATTATTTCTGTTTTTGTTACCTTGTCATTAAATAAGGTTTCTATCTTCCTTGACCTCTCAAGATCAGTGATTTAGCTACATGTAAATGCCTTCTTGCATTGGATTCTTCCCATAAACCAGACTGCTCATTTCTCTCGTGGATTGGGCCTTCTATGACTCATCATTCTTAACTTGTAAGTGTCCAACAAGTGTGGATTTGGATGTTTTTCTTTTGATTTAGTTTATGCTTTCTTTTTTTCTGGACACATTCTCATTTGCTCAGAATGAGAAGTCATAGATTTCATATTGACCTTTGATGGTAAAATGAATAAAGGCAGTTCAATCACTATCCTATTTTAAGATTTCTTTATGTAATTTCAGCCTTTTAGAAATTGATACTTCTAGAATTTAATAATGTATTTTTTTTCTATCCAGAAATTTCAGCAATCCCATAAACTGGGAGGTCAGAGACAGTGTCTTTGTAAATGAATGTGGGTGACTTTCCCTACATTTTTATATTGCCTGTGATCCTCCCACAGTTCCATCTTCCTCCTGCTCACCAAGTGAGTGCTCAAGAAATTCAAAAAAGCCATGTAAAATCCCCTCCTTGAAAACTTTCAGTGACTCCATAGAAAATCCAGACTTGCTGGCTAGACATTCAAGACCTTCCCAAGATGTATTCTGACAATCCCTGTAGCTAGTTTCTGCCCAGTTTTCTCTTTATCCTAACTTATGTTTTGGCCAAACTAGGCTTTTCCCCCATAAGTAGAAATAACTTTAATTTATGAGGTACCTACCATGTGCTAGATGCTGTGTTTAGCATTTTCATGCAGTGTCTTATTTGGTTTTCAACCTAGCAAGGATCATGTTGTTATCCTTACTTTATAGACAATTAAAGCTTAGAGTACTTAAGTAATTTTATTACAGTCACAAAATAAATAAGGATTCCAACTCCAGTATTTAGAGTTTACTCTTTCCAGGATCATGTGCTGTCTCTTTAGAGCTCTCTTGCTCACCTACTTCTGTGCCTTTGCTCATGGTGAGCTTCCATTCTGGAAAGCACTCCTTCCTCTATTTGTTCTGTAAAATACTTAACATCTTTTAAGGGTCCAATCAAATAGTACTGACTGCTTGGGTTTGAATTCTAGTTGTGATATTTTGGAGAACTTTATCTCTGTGTGCTTCAATTTCTTGGCTAAAAGTTAGAAATGATAATAATTGTATTTGTATGATAGAGTTGATATGAGGAATAAATATACACAGATTCTTATAATAGATGCTATACACATGTAAACACGTGTGCACACACACATATATACATTCAATCTTTATCTATAGCTGTACCTGTGAAGAAGTTAGAACAGTTCATGTACCAAGTATTATGTCAGTGTTTGTTATAAAAGCAGAAGTTATCTTAGATATCTGAGAAAATCCTCTTAATTGGAAAAATGATAAATCTGAAACTCAGAGAAGGTTTGTAAACCTGTCCTAGGTCACATAGTTGGTGGGACAGCCAACTCTGGAATTCAGAATTTTCACTTCCTGTAACAGAATGTTTCTTTACATTTTTACACTAGACTATTCTGCCTTGTAAAACCTTTCTATCTTGCCTCTGAACATTCTTGTTCTTTGTTTCTCTCTTACGAGGAACATTGCATTATAACTATTTGAATATGTGTCTTATCACTCAAACTCAATTGTGAGGTCCTTACATGCAGGGTGGCTTTCTCATTTATCTTTGTTTTCTACACAATATTGATGCCCACAAATGTGCACTCACATAGAATTTCATGAATTGATTGAACATCTGCTATTACAATAATATGAACTGATTATTCATCTGCTAGAAATTGAAATTGAGGTGCTTTCACACCAATTTTCAGTCTTCTCGGCAGCTCTAAGGGATGGGTACAATTTTACAGAGGAGGCAAATGAGGTTTAAAGGTTCAGAGAGGAAATGACTGGAAGGTTAATTACACAGGTGTTTCAAAACCAACCAAAGCAAAATGGATCATTGGGTCATTTGCTCTTTGGGATAGCTATACCTTTGTTGGCTTCTGTGAGCACAGATAAATAAGAACTTTTGGTCTATTATTTGCTCTTAATTTCAACACCATGTCGATTTTCCTAATATTTTTTATTCTCATATGTGTTTTCTTTATTCAATCAAGTGTTTCAGGAACTTGAGTTATACATTTTTTTTCTGTTTTCAAAAGTAATAAGTGTTTGTTGTAGAATATTTAGAAAATAAAAAGAAAGAAAGAAATCACTCAAAACTTAGAGATAAGCAACATTAACATTCTGGCTGTTCCTGGTAATTTTGTCATGTTGGAAATATTAATTGTATCTGCTTCTCTTTCTCTTATTTTAAATAATATTTAAATTGAGATTGTAATTTCTTTTACAACTTACCTTTTCTATTAATCATCTAGAATCTAATTAATAAAAGTGCTATACATAAAAACAGTGTGAAATGAATTACTTCAAACCCAAGATGTTATATCTAAGGGCATATAAGGTAAGAAGTTCAAAGAAATATAGAATACTTGGTTTCCATGCATTGGGTTAACTCTTTTCAGATATTTCCCAGTCTGAAATCTGTTTACTTCTAGCTGCAACTATAGCAGCACAAATAACAACTGAAACTGCTATTGTGGTGGCACCTGTGTAGAGACAACATTTGGCAGTATAGCTAAAGAGAATCCATTCTCCAGGGTAATAGGCATCAGCATTTAGAACAAAGCACATTGAACTTTTCAACTAGAATTAGGGGAATGCACGGGATAAAGTCTCTGTATAGTATTTTAGGTTTATACTTTGAACAGTTGTAGACAGAAGATTGATACTTCTTTACATTTTGTATAACCTTCCTAATGAAAGTAAATAATAGTTAATTCCCCAGAAGGTCCCATGATGAACACAAGTGAGCAATGCAGAACGTGGATGAGGAGGGAGGAGATTCTACTAGACCAGAATATTAATGTTGGGTGGACCTGAGTGTTTGCCTATTGCCTACTGAGGCCTAAGAGTTATGTCAGTATGAATTAGGTATGACTGACAGTAACAGAGGAACTAAAAAGCCCCTCGTAGTTTAATAATATGGAAGTTTATTTCTCTTTTCAAAAAGTTGATGGAGGTAGATATTTGAGAGATAATATGGCTAATAGGGTCTATCTCTACTGAGTCCCTGAAGACCTGTACTCCTTCCAGCTCACTGCTCCTCCATTTTTTGGGTGAGGCCCGTATCCTCATGAAAAAAGATAGAGTTCCAGTGACTGAAACCACATTTCCAGCAGCAGGAAAGCAATTTCTCATTGCTTTCGTAGTGTGAAAGCAGCATTGAGTAGTTGCAACAAAGACCTCAAATATTCGCTATCTCATCTTTTACAGAAAAAGTTTGCCAACTCATGCTCTGGAATTGAGAATATGGTTTCACAAATTTTGAATTAATCCATTTTTTTGTAACTGTCAGGTTTCTAGTTTGAAAAAAATGATTTCTATAAATTAGTATTACATTTGGATGCATCAAAAAATAAGATTTAATACTATTTTGTATATTATTACTCGGATAAGAGGAAGAAAGGATGGGGAGTGAGACTTAAAATAATACAGATTTATTTCTTAAAAAATTCCGAAGTAAATTGTGGCAAAATATTAGCACCTGTTAAATATTGGTGATGGGGCATGTGGAAGTCTGTTATTTCTGTATTTCTTCGGTATGTTTAAAACTTCTATAATTAAATAATTTAAAAAAGTTTAAAAGAGAGATGATTATGGTTCCTTTAAAAACAAAAAAAGAACTGTAGTTAAGTTTCAAGGCCATTCCAGTTTGGATGTCCAGAGGAAGCTCCTTACAGAATGGTGTGTGGAGAAGGTTGACTCCCATTGGAGTGTGATATATATATATATATATATGTATTTTATTATACTTTAAGTTCTAGGGTACGTGTGCACAACATGCAGATTTGCTACATATGTATACATGTGCCTGGAGTGTGATATTTTTTGTGATTGAACCTCCAGAATCGTATCAGCAGTTCCTGAGACTTCACATCTGTAAAATGTGTGCTACACATTTTACACCTCTGCTTGTGTACTACAAAAAGAGCACCTGCATACAAAACCAGAAAAGAAGGCAAATGTCTCCTAGAAAAGTAACAGACTGTGTTAGAATTAGTACATTTCTGAGATGGGAAGGTTTGAAGTACTAAGAGCTCTCTATTTTTTGTTGGCATAAAATCTAGATCATTTACTCATAGTAGGATAAAGTATTTAGGAAGACCAAAAGCCATTATATAGACTCGTTTAATATTTAAGTTTTTTTAAATGGGTACTTGTAACCTATAAGCATGTAGATATATAAGAAAAAATAACAACTCTCAATTATTTAAGATTTGCTCCTTAGAGACAATAGATTATCTTACAATAGATTGAACCTTTCTATATTAAAGAAGTAATGTTGCCATGTATTTAAGTAAGAAGAGAAATTTCAAAACCGTTAGTGCTGTAAAATTGTATCCAGTCAGCCTTGAGCAACATACATAATCATAAGAAAGCTGCTCATCTGCCAAAAATTGGACAGCTTTACCAAATGCAAGTTTAATTAACTGGAAAAAAATTAAATTTTAATAAATAATTAGGGTGATTATTAAGCATTATGGTGCACTTAAAATGTGTTGTGTAAACACTAGTGGGAATATCTTCCAAGTTTGATTTCCTACTCATTTTAAGTCATTATCTTTTGAGAATAAAACTAAAGCAATGGATAATTTTTTAAGGAAAAGGAAAAAATGTATAAAACAAGAAACAACCTTTATTTGGATAACATGACAGTACATTTTACATCAATTCTCAAAAAGCAAGCACTTACTTTGTACAAGGCGGCGTGTTATATACTGAAGATATAAAAATGGGTAAAATATGGTCTCTCTGGGAACTAACAGACTAGTGGTAGAATGAGGATTAGAAATGTAAGTACCATACAGTAGATAAATGTTTTAATAGAGGTGTGCTACAAATGCTTTAAGAGTACCAAGGAGAGAGAGAATTCATTCTGATAGGAAGGACACAGATGGTACCACAGATATACACATATAGATAACATAAACAGGCAGAGAGGGAAGTAGAGAAGGCATCTCATACAGAGGAAAGAGCACAAGGAAAGTCATCCAGGCACAAAGTGCATACCTTGTTTGAAGAAATGTGAATTTCTTCATCTTGCCAGAATGCAAGTTTATGGGAAATAAATGACCAGAGGTGAAAATATAAAGGTGGTTAGGGACAGATTTTCATCGAAGGCTTTTAAGGAAGAAGTTAAGTATGGTCAGATCTGGGTTTTTGAAAACAGATCATCATCAGTTGAAGGGGAAGTAAAAGGGAAGGATGAAAAGGGTGAAGACCTTTACAAGGATATCCAATGGTCAGGGTGAGAGACGGGAGTCAGGATGGCTGATTTAAATCATTAGCAAAGACAATGAAAAAGATGGTATACATAAAAGGAAACTTGCAGAAGTAAATCCATTTGGTGATGACCAGGAGAAAGACAGAAAGAGAGACACATACACACACACACACACAAACACACACACACACACACACATACACAGAGAGAGAGAGAGACAGAGAGAGAGAGAGAGAGAGAGAGAGAGAGAGAGAGAGAGAGAGAGAGAGAAAATGGGTATTGACATTACCAAGGTAGAGAGCATGTGAATTAGGAACAGGTAAGGGGAAGATACAGGTATTTATTTTTCATGTTTGATGTCTTTGGGTTATTCATGCTGATTTGACATTCATGTGAGGATAATAGCATTCAGGTCTAGAATTCAGGGCAGAAGTGAGGCCAAGAGATGGACATTTGTGATTCATTTGTAAATAAGTGATGACTGAGGCTGTGGAGTTAGGTAAATTATTCAATAATAAAGCATAAAACAAGATAAAATGAGCATATATGTAAAACTTTCTGATTGGTGTGATACCTTAAACGTATTTTCCTTTTTGAAGCAAGAAAATTGCTATTTGAAGTTTTTCTTTTCATTCCCTGACAGAAATTTGGCTTGATTATTGACATTTTATCTCTCATTAATTATTATTTTTCTAAAAATTTTCCAATTAACAAGAAGATTTTTAAAGGATGCATTGTGCCCTACTTAGTACTGTTTCATGGCCCTTCCTTTCTTTCCTTACTTCTGGAAACCCCCAATCCTGTGATTAATTTCCCAATGGCTTTTATTGGCCTATAGTTACCCAGGTAGTTAAGGAAGCCAAATTATAGCAAACTTTTGGGAAGACCTTCTAGCATGACCCTTCCACAATCTGTTATTTCTTTTATTACTAATTTTATGTGTAACAGAGTATCATAAGAATCATGTTACTTTTAAATAGCACATTTTCTTTAACAATATAACAGTAGAAAAGTATATATATTTCAGTGAAATGGGAGATTAAAATCAATTCCTGCATTTCTGTTGCATTTTAACATTTTCCTTTTTATTATAGGACATTAATTATGTATGGAAATGGTTCAACAACTTTGTTGTCTTAGTTGCCTACTTTCTGTGAAATACTAGAAATGTGGGAAAAATTCGACAATTTTTACCTGTTACCATCTAACTCTGACTAATTCCTCCTAAATCAGTGTTCAAATAATTATCATATTTGATACTTATGGACCTAACTTAGCTAAAACTTCATGTATAAATTTTTAATTATTTGAATTATTTATTTGATAAATAGATACATTTACATCTATTTTAATTTAAGAATATCTAGCATTTAACAACATCCTAAGGCAATGATCATTCAATCCAAATAGTCCTGTATTGGTTAGGATCAGATTTGACTAAATAAAATGGGAAAACCCAAAGTAAAAAGTTAACACACAAGGAAAGTCTTCACTCACTCCTAGAGGTAGGATCAGATTTGACCAAATAAAATGGGAAAACCCAAGTAATGTGTTAACACACAAGGAAAGTCTTCACTCACTCCTAGGGAAGTCCAGAGGTAGGCAGTCTTTGGTGTTGATGGCTCCAGGGTTATCAGAGATGCCATCTCCCTTTATCTTGCTGCTCTACCATCTTTAGAGTTTTCAAAGGCAACCTATCCTTTCTTAGAACTCTTACACAAATCTTCTGTTCACATCTCATTGACTGAAGCTGTGCCTTTACACAAGAAAATCTGCGAAATGTAGTCTTTTAGCTAGCATCCCTCACCCAAATAAAATTGAGTTTTGTTATGATGGTGAATGAAGAGAATGGATTTGGGGGAAGACAGTAAGTTATCCTATTACAGTCAGTACAATGTCACAATGTTGTTTTAATATAAAATATTTTAAACTTACTAGGTTAATATCTAAGCCCAGTGATGGAAATTTATAACATTCTCTTTTCCAACTCATCCTTTTAGATTTAAATTTATAAAATAATATAGATTCTGGTTTCCCAATGGCAGAAACTCAGTGTAGTATAATCTATAAGGCCATTTAATTCAGAAAATAGGGCATTTATTAAATGTCACGTGGTGAGAAATCTCTCTTTTGATGTCAGACGTTGAGAAAATTAATTCCTCTTTCAAATCTCACTATTAACTTATGAAACCATCTGCTAAGCCTGACTGCCTGTATTGATTTTTTCTTTTTAAAATTTTTAATTTTTAAAATAGATTTAGGGGGTAAAAGTGCAATTTTATTACATGATACATTGTGTAGTGATGAAGTCTGGGCTTTATTGTACCCATTGCCTGAATAGTGGACATTGTACCCAATAGGTAATTCTTCACTTTTCACCCTCCTCCCAACCTAATTAATTTTTCCTGATTACATACTCCACCTTCTTTCACACAGACCCATCCCTGATCCCTGTGCTTTTAATAACTAGTACTTGACCCACCTCTGCTGACTTACATGACAACTGCGGCCTTTATCCTCTGGATTTTCATTATCTATTTCCTAATCTCCTGCTATTGTCAATTTCTTATCTCTTCAGTTCCAAAGTTCTCAGTCTTCACTCTACAGAGGTTTGTATTCACCTGAATGTGTTTTAGAATTTGTGATCTCATTTCCAACATCTCAAACTCTGGAGAAGTATGAAATTTAGTATCAGGCAGATCTAGGTCCAAATCTCAGCTTTATCATTTACTCCTGTGACTACAGATAAGTAGATTAATTTCTTTCAGCCTAGTTTTCCTCATCTGGAAAATTATAAAGAACATGTCTACTTCATTGGGTTGCTGAGAAAATTAACCAGGATACCACATGAAAATTTAGTTGTCCAATATTACCCTATCCCAACTATCACTATAATTGTCTTCAGAGCAGGTACAATGTCTATGTAATGACTCTCTGGGAGATTTTCTGGAAACAGAGTGGGGTCTTCACAAATGATGTATGAAGGAACTTGCTATTGTTACATCTCATTGCAATGTGCATGCTTGTACCTAGGGGCATATCTAAGTTGGTAGATCAAGACATGACACTGGTATCAAGATATCATGGTTCCAATCTTAGAATCCACTTCTGCCAGTAGACCTTAGAGAGTGCAAATCAGTCTGTTCTACAATGTTTCCTTAATTTAGAGCTTTGGAAAGCAGAGGTTAGGCTCTCAAGTTTTTTCCCGAAAGGTGTTAGGTTTCTTAGGCTTTTTGTCCATTCTTCCCATGATGAGCTTTACATACAATGGATGTCAGAAAAGACAGCCTGGATTGATTCACAAAAGGTTATTTTACAGTATTGTCACAAGAACTTGCCCTGAAAAATTAAGCCTAATTGTTATCTTAATTTTCGTAACAAAAGTTTATTCTAGTGGCTTTTTTTTTTCTGAACCAAGAACTTATCAGGACCTTATCAATGCTGCCTCTATTATTAGACATGCTTTTATACCTCAATTGACAAACAGATATATTGAAATATATTTTTATAACATATTGATTGTACATTGAAATTGGAAGTTTTCCAAAATCTAAGGATTGTAAGTTACATAGAATTGTTGAGTTTCTAGTTTAATCATAAATAAAGTACTTACCAATGTTTTCACAAACTATTTAAGCTCCAGCTAGAGCATGCATTTCAAAAATTGATACTTAGGCCGGGCACAGTGGCTCATGCCTGTAATCCCAGCACTTTGGGAGGCTGAGGCAGGTGGATCACCTGAGGTCAGGAGTTCGAGACCAGCCTGGCCAACATGGCAAAACCCCGTCTCTACTAAAAATACAAAAATTAGCTGGGCGTGGTGGCAGGCGCCTGTAATCCCAGCTACTTGGAATGGTGAGGCAGGAGAACTGCTTGAACTTGGGAGGCAGAGGTTGCAGTGAGCCGAGATCATGCCATTGTACTCCAGCCTGGGCAACAAGAGCAAGACTCCATCTCAAAAAAAAATAAAAAAAAAAAATTGATACTTGTTTGAGTAGGTTTTAATATGTTGGATATCCTAATGCTAAGTGATGATGGGTTTCTGACAATGTATACAGAATGCTAAAATGATGCCCAAACCCTGTGTCTTGTAGATTCAGATTCATCTGGTCCTGTTTTGAAGGTTGACTAGCGGAGCTGCCAGGAGCCATTTTTATGAGGAGCCATTGGAACCCGACGGAGAGAAAACAAGGGCAGGTCTTGGGGCTGACAGCTAGTCCTGCTCAACTAACCCTGGTTAGCAAAAGGCCTGGGGGTAGAAATGTCTTCATGACATTTTATTTATGTCATGAGGAGAGCACACTTTCATTTAGTCATGGTAAACTGATACTCAGATTGTCCAGCTCAGCTCCCTTAGGCTCAATGCCAGAGTTCTAAAGTGAGGGGCAGATAATACAGAGTCAAACAGCAGGTGTCGCTAATATTCCTGTACAAAGCTGAGGGCTCAGAGCAGTGCTCTCTGTGGATATAGCATCAGGAGAGTTGAAGTGGATAGGAAAGCCATCTGTTCAATGATGCAGGTAACAGAAGAACATTTTACAATGGCTTCACTGGGCAACAGTGAGGGAGCAGCACATAGATTTTTCTTTAGGATGCTGGGCACTGTTTGGTACAGTGACCTGGGACTGATTAGGCTGTGTTTAGAGTATGGAAGAAGGTGGCAATTTTGAGCTATACAAAGAATATCTTCTAGATATCCAGATATGAGTTGGAGAGATAGAATTGGAAATTCCTGTGATATTCAAATGAGAGAGAGAGAGAGAGACAGAAGTAATAAAGGAAGAGAAAGAAAGGGGATATGAAGAAAGATAGAAACTATAATATTACTAGGCTGACAGTGATAGCCAGGAAAAGACATAATAGGTAAACATTTTTCATTTTTCGCCTTTGCAATAATCAGGGTTCACATGTTTATATGAGTGAGAGCTCATAATCCTGTATCAGAATATGATGGTATTTAATAATACTTCACTATTTTCAGGGTCCTTTCCTGTTAGGGTTACTACAGTGAGGTGGTTATAAAAGGACATTGTGAGGCCAGCCTACCTGTGTTTGCCTCCTGACTCTTTGTATGATCATGAACAACACATTTAAATTCCTTAAGCCTCAGTTTCCCTATCTGTAAAATAGAGATGATAATAGCACTGCCCTGACAGGTGTTTTTAAGAAAAATTAAGATAATCATATGATAAATTTGGTGTATACCAGAACTCAATGCATGTTTTTAATATATAATATTCACTTACTTAGACTAACTAAAGTTTTGCTTTGTAAGGTTCTTTTCACACCAAACGGAATTTGTTAATCTGTCATGACAATGATAACTCTTGGAAATTTTTTGTTCTTCCTTCTCATGGTGGTTAAATTATTTCACAGTATATCAGCTATGATCCAATTCCACAGTTCATACTCAGGCAAAACTGCCTTCTCAAATAACAGGAGTTTGGTACAGAAGCTACAAAACCAGGGCAAAGGATGTTAAATTGATACTTCCAATGTGCCTTATTTTGAGCCTGATACTATGGAATTTTGCCTGCTATTACAGTACCCAATTATTGCTTGGAATAATTTTGCATTTCCTCGCATTTTACAGAGCATGGCTTGACTGACAATTTGACAATCAGATAGCCTAGGCTGATGCCATTGTATCTATTTAATAACTTTGTTAACCAATTAACACAAGCAGACAATTCCCATAATAATTGAGTATTAAAAAGCACAACAACAAATAAACAGTGGACACTTAGAACAAACATCTGAACACTGTTTTAGCCCAGTTGCCTTCTTTTCCTGAAAGCTCCAAAGACATACACACACACATACACATACACATACACACACACATGCACACACACACACGAAGAAGCACAAAGAAGGCAAAGTACATTTCATTTTGGGATTGAATTTTTACTCTGGAACCCAGTATAAAGCTCTAACAGGTAGGCTGATCTTCAAGGAAAGGCTCTTTTTCTGTGTATATGGTAGGCTACTTCCCTTCAAGACCCCTATGTGAATCTAGAATCTAAACCATGGATGGCGGGATGGCGACACCTGTGCTAATGTTTGAGAAAAAGTAGTAAAAGAAGGAGAGAGATAGAGAGATAAAGATACAGATCTATTTATCTGTATCTATCTACATCTATCAGAAAGAGATAAAGATACAGATATAGATACAGATCTGTCTAACTATCTATGAGAGAGAGAGAGAGAGAGAGATAATTTGCCTCTATTGCCCAAAATGGAACTGTATTAAGTTGTATGCTCCAAAAGTCTAGTCCTAGCTCCCAGGAAGGAGAAGAGAAGAGAGAAAGAAACAGCCAGTGTTTTTTTGAGAAAACAAATTCTGGGCTTTTCTAGCAGACTTGTGGATAGAAGAGGAAAAAGGTAGGAAAAAAGAAGATCATATAGACTTACTTTATAGTGGGAACCTCAGAGTCTTTACCATCTAGGCTTCATGAGAGTTGCTAAATGTGACCAGACTTGTTAACCCATAGCTCCTCCCCAAGAAATTTAATGTAGTGTATGCTCTTCCTTGGTGTTAGAATGTTTTTCACCAGATTCTTGTTCCTCCTTGAGGTATAGTAAGAGGGAGAGGAGTTGAAGGAAGGAGTTTTAGTTTCTTTCTCCATAGACCAAAATTGGACTAATTTTGTTCTCTCTTCTCTTGATTAAGTCAGGTCTATGATCAGCTAAGGGTGAGGCTGTTCCTTCTGAGGGAAGATGTCTGCAGACATCAGTAAGTCCTCCCTGCACCACTGGAGTGGTTTTCTTGGGCACTTTCAGCACTCTGTTTTGTACATCTGGTATTAATGATACCAGCAGTTCAGCTCCTCTGTTCTTGCTATCTATTACAGGGTAACACATTACTCTAAAACTTAGCAACTTAAAACAACAAATGTTTATTATCTAGAAATGGCTATTCTGGGTGGTTCTGGTTCTGAGTTTCTCATGAGGTGGTCCATAAGGTGTCAGCTGGTACTCCAATTGT
Source organism: Homo sapiens (assembly GCF_000001405.40). Lineage (NCBI taxonomy): Eukaryota > Metazoa > Chordata > Mammalia > Primates > Hominidae > Homo > Homo sapiens. Next base: position 93,604,168 of record NC_000007.14, read on the forward strand.
TGGAAGGTTTGATTAGATTGGAGAATTTGCTTCCATGATGGCTCACTCACAAGGCTGTTGTCTGGAAGCCTCAGTCCTTCCAATGGACCTCTCTCTGGAGCTCCTTGAGTGTCCTTATGACATTGGAGCTGCTTCCTTGGGAGAGTGCAATCCAAGAGGAGAGACCAAGGAGAAGGGCGAAATATCTTTTATGTCCTAATCTTGTTTGCCATAACTATCACTTCTGTGACACACTATTCATTAGAAGTGAGTTGTTAAATCCAGCCCACACTCAAGAGGCAGGAAATAAAACATTGCCACTTGAAAGAAAGGGTATCAAAGAATTTGTGGATGTATTTAAAAGCTGTGCCATCCTCAAATCTTTTATAAACCCACTAGGAGCTTCCACAAACGGTCGAGATAAAACATTAATTAATGCTATCTAAGGCCACACCAAGTCAATGATTTGCCATCTCTTTTATTCCCTACCTTAAATACTCCTCCTTCTTTTTATCCAATTGCACTCACCAAACAGTGTTATACACTGAAATGGATAGAACTATAGACCAATTAGGCTGGGCGTGGTGGCTCACGCCTGTAATCCCAGCACTTTGGGAGGCCGAGGCGGGCGGATCACGAGGTCAGGAGATCGAGACCACAGTGAAACCCCGTCTCTACTAAAAATATAAAAAATTAGCCGGGAGCGGTGGCGGGCGCCTGTAGTCCCAGCTACTCCGGAGGCTGAGGCAGGAGAATGGCATGAACCCAGGAGGCGTAGCTTGCAGTGAGCCGACATCGTGCCACTGCACTCCATCCTGGGTGACAGAGCAAGACTCCGTCTCAAGAAAAAAAACAAAACAAAACAAAACTATAGACCAATTAATGCAATTAAACCCCTTTAATTATCAATAAAATGTTTATTTCCACTGAAAAAGGCAACTTACTTTTCTTAATTGGCTCACAAATGGGTCACTCTTTTTTCCTTATAGTGGAATTAAAATTCAAAAGTTTACTCTTTAACATTTCTTCTTATTCTGTTTGGCCCTGCCTAAAAAGTTTCACTCAGTGACAGAGTGCCTTTGTGTGTGCGTGTGTGTGTTTAGCCCATGCTATTTTGTACAGAACTAATATAGATTTTGGTATTACTACAGAGGGATTATTCTCACCACAACTGTGACATATTATGTTAATGATTCCAGTGAAATATGACCCTCTGATGGGCCCCAGTGTGTGTTTTTCCCCTCTATGTGTCCATGTGTTCTCATCATTTAGCTCCTACTCATAAGTGAGAACATGTGGTATTTGGTTTTCTGTTCCTGTATTAGTTTGCTAAAGATAATGTCCTCCAGCTCCATCCGTGTTCCTGTAAAGGACATAATCTTTTTATTTTTTTATGGCTGCATAGTATTCCATGGTATATGTGTACCATATTTTCTTTATCCAGTCTATCATTGATGGACATTTAGGTTGATTCCTAATCAACCTAATGTGTTTGGTATTGTAAAAAGTGCTGCAGTGAACATATGTGTGCATGTGACTTTATGATAGAACAATTTATATTCCTTTGAGTATATACTCAGTAATAGGATTGCTGGGTCAAATGGTATTTCTGTCTTCCACAATGGTTAAACTAATTTACGCTCCCACCAACAGTGCATAAGCATTCCTTTTTCTCTGCAACCTCAACAGTAGTTGTTACTTTATGACTTTTTAAATTAATAGCTATTCTGACTGGTGTGAGATGGTATCTCATTGTGGTTTTGATTTGCATTTCTCTAATTATCAGTGATGTTGAGCTTTTTCTCAAATAGTTGTTGGTCATATGTATGTCATCTTTTGAGAAGTGTCTACTCATGTCCTTTTCCCTGCTTTTTAATAGGGTTGTTGTTTACTTGAATATTTGTTTAAGTTCCTTATAAATGTTGTATATTAGACCTTTGTCAGATGCATAGTTTGCAAAAATTTTCTCCCAGCAAATGACATATTTTTATTAATGCTTCCTGTCCACTCAGTGGATGCCTTCTCATGACACTAAAACAGTATGGTTTATATAGTCTATGAAAGTGAGCAGAAATTCCATAGTTAAATTAAAAAAAAAACCTGTTGTAACAACAAAGAGCAAACTCAGGTTTTCTAACAAGCTTGTAATGCAAATATTTGCTAATGATTAAAGATAAAGATTTTCAGTTGGAAGGCTTTTAATCCTCATTTTTGGTCTAGCACTCAAAGATTAATAATATAGACCTATAGTATTTGGAACCAAGTCACACATGACATGATGTGTCTTTGTGAGAAATTATGTAGAGTCTCTTTTAAGACTAAAGTAATTAAGTTTTTTTTCAATATCTAGCTAATTTTAAGACTCTTAATATTACTATTGTGAAGATTTAACTTCAGCAATATCAGAATTGCTAATGCTATATTTAAATAAATATTGCTTATTTTATGCTAAAAAGAAAAATAATAGTGCCACCATAAGCATACACATACACACATTACAATAGAATATATATTTAGAGTTCCATTCACATCAAATACATATTTTTCCTATTCAGGTTAATTTTACATAAGTATTTGTTGCTAGAAGAAATACTTACATACCTAAACAAACCCAATATTATTAGACTATCAAGTAGCTTTTATTTAAATATGTAATAAACATTTGAATGTAAGAGGATATAAGATAAATATCGTGTTACTTGTTGAATAAGTAATTATTGAAAATGTGTTGTGGGCAGATTTGACCAAATTATACTCTATTGAACATAAAATTTTAGTCATAAATAAATCACACTTCTAGCTGAGGTAGTCTTTTACAATTCTTTTAAAAACAGCAAAATGAGCTTTTTTTTGCATCTTGTTGAGAAATGAGGGTAGATTTATACCCTATCTCTATGTATGTCTTTTTTTTATACTTTCCCATTTTGTGCCAAAGAGAACATAAAACTTCATGCAATAAGATGACCGTTGTTTGTGTAAATGTTTTCAGTAGATTAGAATTTTAAGGTGTATCAAATGTATTTGTTTGGAATAACTGGACATGTTTGTATTAAATTTAGTGTAGCCTGTTTATTGAATTTTTTTTCTTGTCTCTTGGTCTTTCTTCTTCCCATATTAGGTTGACTGGGAAAAAGAGACTCTCTTCTTTATTTAATATGGGTGCATTAAATCTTTGGGGATCCTAAGCTCTCTCTTCAATATGCATAGACACTTCAAAAGCCTGAATAAGATAATGTGGTTCTAAAAAGTGATTTCTTTACCACCTTTTTACTAGAATATAATCCATAGTCAGAGATAATGAATAATGCCAGATAATGGACTCTATCGAGTAAGGCATGCCACTAGGTTCTTACACTGACCCTACAAATAATATTTTCCCAGAAAAAATATTTTAAATGAGGAAAAATCTTCTAGTCATGCTGTTTTGTTGCCTTTTGTTTAGTAAGAGAACAATAACATTGTCTGCTGTGTAGGTTTTTTCTTTTAACGAGCTTCAGGGGCCATACACTTTAATGTGTAATTAAAAAGAATATATATATATATAATCATATATGTATATGATTAAAACAGAAGAAGTGTGCCTGGGAACTTGTGGTTTAAGAAAACTGCAGAACATTTTTTAAAAGCAAATGCAAATTTAAATGAAATAAATGCTAACTAATTTTAGGCATTAGGAAAATGCCTCAACACTTTTTTTGTAATAAAGATACTAAATATATCCTGGTAGGCTTATAGAACTGTGGGACCATTTTGTGTGGTATTTACCTTCATTAGCCATCTATCGTAATGCGCACCCTATTTGACATTGATATACTATCACTATGCTGAAAATAATGTTGCAATATCAGGTTCACACTGACTTCTCACAGTCCTTAAGATGCCCTCTTGTTCTCCCTCATGACCTTATTCCAAACAAAGAGACAACTCCCTCCTTTGGTGCTTCCACATTTAATGCATAACTCCATCTCTGGAAGCAATAACGGGGAACTACAGGGTGAATTCAAACGTAGTACTGTAGATTTCCCACAATGTTGTGAGATTTTGGCCTTTTACCATCAAGCTTTAGCGATTGTTTAAACGCATTTAGTAAGACAGATCCTTATGCCTGAAACAGTTTCCTACCTCACTTGTCTTAGTCTTCCAGAGGAAGGAGGGTTTGTTTGTTTGTTTGTAGACAATTTATTGTCTCTAGGAGAAAGCCCCATTTCTTGAATTTCTTCCCATTTGGATCAGAGAATAATATTTTGAGATCTTTACAGCAGTGTTTTCCAAATTGAAAAATACAACTTATAAATCGGTTGTGATATTGATTTGATAGGCCTAGACAACCAATTATGATTAAAACACAAAATATAGCGGGTTAAGAGTGACGCAACTGTGTCAGAATAGAGGATATCAGCCTTCATTGCATAGTAAAGGTCTTCATTTCAATTACATATATATGTAAGCATATGAATATGTTTACTGGGCCATGGTGGAAAAAAAAGTATTTTTAAACTGAATTTTGATGAGAAATACTTGAAAAAAGTAGTCATGTATAACAATATAATTTCATAAATGTTATGCTTTACAAAAGGTTCAATGATTCAACTCAAGGAAATTGCCATCTTTATGGATAGAAGCACATCTATGTAGCAAGAGAGTTGTAAATATGAATTTCCTATTTGGAAAGAGTTTGATACACCAAAGAGTGTTATCAAAGTTAACAGTAAGGGGAAAAGAAAATATGCATTATTCAGAATACATACTCCTCAGTCTCCTAAAGGCCTATTGGTTACAAAAGTGTTGTTTAGGATCTCAGAAAGAGAAAGTTTGTTTTAGATAAAACACGTTCTCTTGTAGGCATCTAAAGAGTGACCAGGAGTGACAGACAGTCAAAAATGTTTTCTACTTTCTCAAACAAGAATTTAAACTGTCAATGGTTCACTGAGTGATTATTTTCATGTCTTGTCCATTTTTCCTTTGCAATCTTGTTTTCATGCAATGAAAGCTTTAAAAATTCTATAGAATTCTTTTTATTTTGAGGACACAAAAGAAAGCTTAGGCATTTACCCTTCTGAAATAACTTCAAAATACATCTTCTTCCTCCATGGTCACCCTAATTTTTTTTTATTTTGAAATTTGGACAGTTTCTTAGAATTGCTCAGCATCCCATGCACTGTCAGGGGGCATTAATGAGCCCCTTTCATCATGGGTGGCTCCTTTGCACAGTTGGAGACTTCACCAAATTATCTATTGCTAACAATATGCCAAAAACAGTTTTCACATGAAACTCATCTTTATGCAAATTCTGTTATCTGATAGAGAAATGATTACTAGTGTGGGGCATGAATTTATTCATGTATGCATTGCATATAAAATATTTTAATATAAATTTAAAGAAAAATAAAAAAGGCTTCTATTTTCCATGTTAGCATTTATATAACATTTTTCTACATTCAAATAAGTCATGTATATTAATAGCTTAAGATTGTTTCTCTGTTTTCATTTTCATTTTTTTTGTGTTGGTGGGGCAGGAGAATGAGGATGGTAAAATCAGTTACCATACTTTAAAATTTTACATTATGCTAACTTTTCTGTTATGTTTAAAGAAATACACACATGCTTTCATCATTATTCCTACATTCTAAAATCTATCCTGGTGATCTCCATCTTCAGGTTGCACAGTCCTGCATTAGGCACAGATAAAGATGCGCTAATTGTGGACAGTGTTCTTATTAGTCATAATATCCATTCTGATTGGTTGGAGCCAAGGCTATGTTGTTTACCATATATTTTCAGTATCTTCTCTTCTTATACTTTCACTCTCACTACTAACTTTTTGAAAAGTATGTTGACCCATGCAAAGAATATTCATAATACTTTCAGCAGGGGCTCTAGAGCCAATTTTAGACACATGTCACCAAATTACCTTTCTAAACAGTTATACTCTCCAGAAGGCTTGCAGGAAACACAAAGAAAAGAGATGCCTTATTAAGGAAATGTAGATAAAAGGTGAATTTAATGACATATGAGGGAAAACTTTCTGTGGTTAATATCTAATATCCATACTTTCAATATCTCTTCCTTCTGTGCCATACACCATGAACTAAGACATAGAATACCACTGCTAAATGTGATGAATAATATTGAAAAATGTAATAATAGTGTGAAGAATAACAGGGAGAGTTGGGATTGATGTGAATTTTACTTTCTCAGAAAGAAACTTTCTCTTAGTAGAAAATTTTTGTTTAGATAAAATCTAAAAACTCTGAGGTAAGTCCAGAAGTAGAATCGGTTAAAAAGCACCTGTTTTCTGCCTGGTCCCATTACTCTGTCTTAAAAAGTTTATTCTATTTTTATTAGAGGAATATCTTCCCTGGACATTGCAGGTCTTTAAATAATATTCCAAGAAGCTTGCAATATTTCACTGAATTTTGATTATTTCCATGGGAATGTGGAGACTGGTAACATCCATCTATTCCCTCAGAAACTCAATGCCAGGTATGCTGATGTAATTTGGCAACACTGTTAATGATGGTTTATTGAAAAAAATGTTTTCCATCTTTTTTGGTTCTTGGTTAAAAATCAAAACTTCCATGTAAAATTTGAAGTGTTTGACAAACTTAGAAACTCTCTAAAAATGCATAAAATTATAGCCCCATATGTCGAAAAAAATAGTTTTCCCTCTGAGGCTATAAATTCAAAAAGGTGACTAAGATGGAATATAATTACTTTTATTTGAATGAACAAGGCAGTAGGGTTAGCAATGTCAATCTCATGGGAAGTTTAATGAAATCTCTAATGATCACAGAAGGTCTGGAGATTCCCTTCACATTTCATTTGAAAGATATTCTACTGGTACTGATAAAAATGAATGGAGTTATTAGAAGCTTAACACACTTATTTCTTCAATCTAATACATTTTCAAATATCTAGCATGACAGGGGAAATTGATAATTTCATTAACCAGTTTTGGTTAACAGAAGGGTAACCAATAAACAAAATGGTAGTGAATAAGAGGGACAATTTTTTAATCACTGCCTGATCCTTTCCAAGAACAATGGCTGGGGGCTCTTCCTTTCCTCACTATCACTTCCTTTACAAGTATCAAGGATTCACCCTTGGTGATAGAAAATTGATACATTCATGGAGATCTCAGAAAAGACTCGGCAGTGTTTTAGGCATTGCTTCTTCTATAGGAAAAGTGCAGGCAGCTGTGGATGAAGGGCCTTACAAATTGGTGATATGAATAGATAATGTGGCTAATCATACGGGAAATATGAAATGAGTTCTAGCATGGTGATCAATCTATAGGTGTTGGATCAGGCCTTCTTGACTCACTGGTAAAGGTGACAAAGGGATAGGGAAACCCCTAGGTCTACTGTTTTCCTCTCAGGCCCTGTGACCTCCAAGTTTACACTTTATCACCCCTTTTCCCTCAAAACCAGCCCCAGAGGACTCTCACTGTCTGTCATTAATTCACCAATCTATTGTTGTGGCAAAACCCCTAGGCCCTGCTTCCTTCAGGGCTAGGCTTTAATTCTTAAGAGCTGTAATCATCATTAGCTGTGTTCACCACTATTAGTTATCCTCTGTTTCAGGAAAAATTCCCTGCTTTAATTCACTGAGACTTAGTGACTAGTTTCTAATCAATAGAATATGGTGGAAATTATAATTTGTGTTTGGGATTAACAGACATGGTGGGTTACTCCTTGCTGTCTCTCTTGGGTCACTTGTTCTACAGGATGCTAGCTGCCATGTTGTGTAAATGCTCAAGTAGCTCTGTAGAGAAGTCTACGTGGCAAGGAAGTGTGGCCTCCTACCAACAGCCATGTGAGTCAGCCACCATGGAAGCAGATTACCTGCCCCAATCGTAACTTCAAATGACTCTATCTCAACCAACACTTTGGCTGAAACCTCAAAGAGGCCCTAATTCAGAATCAAATAATTAAGCTGCTTCTGGATTTCTGACTCTCAGAAGTTATGTGAGATAACAAATGTTTGCTGTTTAAAATGGCTAATATTTTGGAATAATTTGTTTTACTGAAGTAGATAACCAATTCACATTGTCTGGAGATTATCTCTGACACATCAGTGGTATGATAACTCTCTTGTTAGCATGAAGGTGTACTGAAGCCAGGTGCAAAATAGAGTCATATGGTCAAGCCTAGCTGACAGTGGATTCAGTGGGTCTATGGATTAATGAGCTTATTTCTTTAATACCTATGTGCTTAAAAGGATGGATATATTTAGCCAGTAATGGAACTCACGTAGATTCCTTGACCTTTGGAATAATAGCCATTATAGTGGGAAAGGCCATCAGAAAGCCCCTCAAGCTTCATTGCACCATGCAAGATAGTACATCAGAGGCATCATAGGTAGAATGGTAGAGATTGAATGGCTACATTCAAAAACTAAAGAATGTTGATATTGCCCCTGCAAAAACAAGATGTGCCATGGTGGGTAATGGTGCACTTCTGAAAATTTTAAAAATTGGTAGCTCCAGTTACAACTTCTGTGCCATATGTGATATCTTTACTAGAACAGATAATATAGTTTCTGGCACATGGCATGAGGCTATTGATATGACATGAGTGTTTCTTTCAATTCTCATCAGAAAAGGAGGTAAGAAGCAGTTCACCTTCATTTGGGATGACAAAAAGCAGACATTCATGGCGTTGTGCCAGGAATATGTTGTCAAGTTATATAATGTATAGAGTCTCTAGAGAACCTCAATAGAACCACTTCATTGCAGAATCTTAGCATTGTGGAGTAAGGTCATGCTATACTAGCAGGGAGCTGTTTTTCATTCAAAATCAGTTCCTGATATAGAGCAATGAAAAAGACCATCATCTCCAATCCTAACAACAAAAATAGGTCATATAAGCTACTATAAAGTTATAGTCTCTCAGAAACTCTTCAAAGAGCTGACAATGTAAAGGAATCCAAGCAAGCTAAATTCCAAAAAGGAATTAGCCCTTTTTAGGAGAGAAGATACCCATACCTTCTGTCATCATGGGGCATGATGGAAGAAGGGAAAAACCTTTCAATAGATAGGGGCAAGGAGAAAGTTGCAACTTTTTAATGAACTTTGAATGGCTATACCTAGAGGACAATGAATGATTAGATTCCTGATAATCCTAGTCATAAAGCAAGTATGCACAGCCGAAAAATTCTATTTCATGGGATTTTCACTGAATGCACAACAGCACTTCGTAAAGGATAGGTAGAGGGAAATAAAGTTAAGGGGCATACCCCCAAGGTGTACAGAGCCCTTATTAAGTGCAAGGCAGCCAGCTGCTATAGGCTGAGGGTGGAGCAGGAGAGCTCAGAGAGATCACCTTGAGGTGGATACAACCTTCACCAAGTTTATACTTGGAAAATAAGTTTGTACCTTGGAAAACTAGGGCCTACAAAGAAGGGTAGAGAGTTAGAAAGCAAAGAAAATGCTCCAAAGAAAATTGATCCATAACGCTGCCAGTTGGATGGTAGAAAGAGATCTTAGACATCTTTCCGTATTCAGGAAAGACCTAATCTCACCATCAAAATAGTAAATCCAGTGGGGAATTGGATCCAACTAAAAATTCAATAAAGCCAAGACAGAGTATACAACTCTAGGCAATACTCACTCAGCAGCCCAATCTAGTGGTCTGAGGAAGAAGCATGTTATTTCCTAGGGTAATTTTATCTACATTAATTTACTCTCTGCTGTCCTTTTAGACACAGTATTTGTCATTTTGCAGGGTAATTGCAGAGCATATAAAGATGCCGGATAAGTCACCCACATTCAGAGAAGAAAGAGTTAGTGGAAGCAGACTTACAGATAACATAGATGTTGGAATTAGCTGAAAAGATCTTTAAAAGAACTATGATAAATATATTAGATAATTTAAAGTTAAAAGTGGTATGGTTATTTGGAAACATAGTCCTCCAATTCCTTGACACTCTTTGTTGAGAGGTGATATTTATTTTACCTCCCCTTAAATATAGATAGGCTTTTATCTGCAATCTAATATGACTTTCATCTGTGATCCTGTATGTCTTCTGGGCCTTTATTTAAAGATATCATGCAGCTTTTTTTCTTGTCTTATTGGGATGTTTCCTCTGAGAGAAGCCAGATGTCAGATAAGAAGTTTGACTCCTTTCAGATTGCCATTCTGGAGAGGACATATGTAGATACTTGGACCAATAGCCCTAGCTGAGTTTCCAGGTGACAGCCAGTGTCAATGGTCTACTATGGGTTGAGACAACTTGATATTCAGATGAGTTAAGCCTTCAGATGACTGTAGCCCCAGCTTACATCTTACTGCAACGACATGAAAGACAACAAAGTGCGAGTCTTTCCTGAATTACCACAAAATCATGAGCAATAGAATGGCTATTTTCAACTGTTAAGAATGTGAGTAATTTATTGTGCCTCAATGGTAACCAGAACAAGTAGAGAACAGATGGTGGATTTCAGCAGAGAAATTAAACTATAAAAAACAATCAGGTGGAAATTCTAGAAGTGAAAAATTGAATATCAGAAATAAGAACTCAGTGATCATTTGACTGAACAAGAGAAATGAGAGTATTAATGAACTTGAAGATGGTTAATAGAAGTTGTCCAAATGGAGCAAATATACACACACACACTCTCTCTCTCTTTCACACACATTCACACACACACGCACTCTTTCACACACACACACACACACACACACACCCCTGAGATATAATTTCTATGGCACTTCTTAGAGTTCCTCAAAAGTATGCTCCAGTAACCCAGAGTGGTAATTTGCCTGTTAATGCACCTTTTATTGCTTCTTTCCCTTCTGTGTCTCCCTTCCCTATCTCCCATTAAGTTACTTGCACTCGAATGCTCTCAAGATCTGCCTTTGAGGAAACTCAAACAATACAAATGTTATCTCATATAAAGTGAGCAAAAATTCTAGGAAGTCAGTTCTATTATTAAACTCTTTTTAAACCTTTTACAGGGAGGAAATTAAATGTTAGAGCAGTTAAAAAATTTGGCCAAGGTCATATAGCTAGGAAGTAGCTATATGAAAAAGACATGAGAGGCTGCACTTAACCATATTCTATAATAACTTACGTTGTAATGGCATTGTATGTAACAATTTATAGGGTGCTCCCAAAACATTATCTCATTTATGTATAGAACAAATGAGTGAGGTGAGCAAAACTTATATTTTTGTTCAGAAAAGAATATTTTATTAGAGGAAGAAACTATTTTAAAGAGAAAGTGGCTCATTTAAACAAATACAGCCATCTACGGGCAGTGCCAAGACCAGAGCTGGGTCTTCTGACTTCTAACTTCTAGTCTACTGTACCATGTAATAGGGCTGTAAGTAACTGAGAAAATACTATTTTTTACTTCAACAATCCCCTTGATCTTCTACAATACTTCTGAAGTTGAATGACCAGCGTGAGGTCAGTGGTAATATCCCCCTTTTTTCTTTATTAGTCTAGCTAGTAGTCTATTTTATTTATTTATTTTTTCAAAAAAACAAAAAACAAAAAACAAAAACAGCTCCTGGATTCGTTGATCTTTTGAATAGTTTTTTTGTGTCATCTCCTTTGGTTCAGCTCTGATTTTGGTTGTTTCTTGTCTTCTGCTGGCCTTGCTGTTTGCTTTTGGTTCCCCAGTTTTATTTTTAGAGAGCTAGATGTGATGTTAGGTTGTTAACTTGAGATTTTTCTATCTTTTTAATGTGGGCATTTAGTGCTATAAATTTCCCTCATAATACTGCCTTAGCTGTGTGCCAGAGTTTCTGGTACAGTCTATCTTTGTTCTCATTAGTTTCAAAGAACTTCCTGATTTCTACCTTTGAAAATTAAAAAAAAAAGATCAACTTTATTTTTTAGAATTAACAAAGTCAAATTGACAATATGTGGATGTATGATGGCTATAAAAATGGAAGTTATTCACAAACATAAACTTATTTCTTTGTATGAACAGCCTATTTCATGTTTCTGAAAGCTCAATAACCTGAATCAATGTGTTTATTGACATTTCCTTCTATTTGAAAAGTGTCTATTTTTCATAATAAAAAAGCGCTGGAAAAATCTAATTCTAAAGCTTGTATTCATAAGTCTTATCATGGTACAAGGAAAATAAAGCATCAGCAATTGCAACTCTTCAATGTATTTTTTCCATAAATCAGAGAAATGGCCATTTCAGAGATTCACATGGTTAAGCCTTTAAGTGGCTTCTGAGGGTTGGTACTCTTTACTGTAATTTCTAGGAGTCTCCTCAGGTGACTCTCACAGAAATTAATGTCTGTTAAAAACATCCTACTTATTATAAGCTCCACAGCACAATAGGGCAACTATAGCCAAAAATAATTTATTGTATATTTCAAAGTACTTAGAAGAGTAGGTTTGGAATGTTCCCAACACCAAGTATGATAAATGTTTGAGGTGATGATATCCCAATTTCCCAGATTTTATCATTACACATAATACGCCTGTGTCAAGATATCGTCATGTACTCCATAAATATGTATAACTATTATGTATTTGTAAAAATTTTTTAAAATAAAATATTTTGTTTTACTTATAACTTAAAACAGGAAAAGAAAATATCTCTGGTGTATACAAAAGAACATTCAGTTCATGAGATTTCTCTATCATAACTACTTTCATCCCCATGTTGGAAGGACAAGAAGATGTATAAATGTTTATGGCTGTGTTAAACTTGTCATGTACAGCTTCACACGTTGTGCATTGCACTATTCCAGGGGTGCCATTCACTTAGATTACAATATGAATAACTCTCTTGACATAATGTACAGCACAACTGCTACAATAATACACAATGACTCTGCTCATTGAGGTCCACTGAGATCTTAGGATCACTAAAGAATGGACAATTACAGCTATTTAAATTGTAGTTATTGGATTAATCCCAATTTATAGTTGTACTATTTAATTAAAACATAACAAAATCAAATGCAAATGAAAACAAAAAACAAAGATGTATCTGTGTGGGATAAAGAGATAAAGAGACCTTTGCCTATTAAATGTGTTTTACACTTTCATAAGAATCTTAGCAGTTACGATTCTCGATTTTGTCATTCTGCCAAACATATTAACTTATTTTAATAAAAAGTAAAATGGACTGTCAATATTAGCTAAAGAGAATAAACAAACCTAGTGGGGAAAATAAAATATTTCCCCCAGACTCAAGTGACATAAAAGTAAGAATAAATTACAATGAAATGCAAGGTATTTATGTAAAACTAACATTTTCTTATGAAATGGCAGTTGCTATTACTGATGCTCCACAAGCATTATCTAATTTTATACTCACAATTTTCTATTAGTAGAAAAAGTTATTATACTTACTCTACAGGCCAAAAAATGGAAGGGAAGTTATTTAGTAATTTGCTGGAACAACGCATATAGGTAGTAAGTGACAGAGCTAGACTTAAACCTACATGACACAAATCCAGAGTTCCTTAACAGTTCATACAATACCTCTTAAAATGTTGTTTAATTAAACATACAAAATGCCAAAGGTAGTTATGAGAGAACACTTTAATGATAGCAGGCTTGAGTATCTGGTACCAGGCCACAGGATCACTGTATGCTTCTGACACTGGAATGAGAGAGTAGGTGGCAGAACACTTATAGCTAAAGTAAAACTTCAGAGTTAAAACTGGCCTCAGCCTCTACTGCTACAACTGCTCCTGCATCTCCATTTTGTGTTGAGCTTAACAGAATTCTTTAAGAAAATAAGAACTGAAAAACAATTGGCAATGCAAATATCTTAATTGAAGACATTCTCTATCTGGAACTGGAGCATACTGTACAATGATGAAAATTAAAATTTTCATCCTTGCTTTTCATTGCTCTGTGACAGAAGGGTCTATATTTCTAAAGCAAATATAAGAAGAGAAATGCCTCGACTATCCTTGAGAAGTTCGTCATATTATGAATCCCATGACCTAGTGTTTCTCATGACCAGGGCTTGTAATAAAATGATTGCATTATTAAAGGAGTCCATTATACCAACTCCATGAATCTTTGCTCAGAGAAACAAATTTAGTAAGTGAAATCAGTAAGCTGCTAAGAGTATGGCTACATGCATAATATATTTTCATAATTGTTCAAAACTTCTATTTATGGGAATTACTTAGGATCTATTGTTATATCTTAGTCTCCAATTTGGAAGAGGCAAGAAAGTGAAGGACAGATTTTGCAAAAGGTAGGACCACCTTGAGAGAATGTTCCATTCAACATTTTTTACAACAAAGTCCAGCATCTGTCAAAATGGTTCTCATGTTTTGGCTTTAAGGAATCTTGATTATAAACATGACAGTAAAAGCCAAGCATTATGGTGTATTCAGAGTTTGAAGGCAGGGTGCCTTGATTAGCCAGTATGTATCACAGTCCTCCTTACATAGTCTGGCATACAAGATGGAAGTCAATTCTGTGAATTAATAATTGGCAAGAACAAATTTGACATTTTTCCCTCAAAAGCTTCCTCAAATTTGTCTGAAAAGAACTGCATGTCTTTCAAAAAATATAAGAAAGCTGTTTTTTTAAAAACTGGAAATTATACTTTAAATTTGCAGAATGACTCTAAGAGAAAAAGTTTTCTAATTTTTCAGGATAGATTCAAAGGCCCGTTGAGAAGGAACCAGTTTAAAGCAGTGGAATCAATGTCCACTACATTGGACATGTATACATGACATGAATTTCCAAAAAATAGTCAGAATGCTCATAGGATGTGGAGGAGGAGGGGTGAGAGGGAGAATAATGGAGTAATTTTATCCAACTTTAGCCATTGCACCACTTCCTTGGAGATCAAATCATGATTTTCTCTTGCTCTAAAAAGGAGCTTTTCAAATTGAGCCAGTTTCCTTGGCCCCAAAGCTGCTTAATAAACTGTACATTTTATATTATCTGTTAGTAAAATGTTTTGGGGTAAACATTTTAATAATGATACAAGACAAATGTGAATAAATAAATAACTGGGATACAAAATTCTCATGGCTAAGAAGAGCTGCTTTGGGCTGGGCCATCAGAACCAACAAAGGGCACCTATATATCCTCTGCCATTTGTATTAATTCCATTGAAACACTTTAGAAGTGATGTTCTAAGGAAAAAAGGAATTTGTTTAAGAATTTGATTCATTTCAGCCCTATGCTCACTAGCGCCAATATTTAAAAATTGCTGATATCCTAGATAGAGAGGATCAGAGGAGAAGAACCCAAATGAGTGTATATTTATTTACTCTTCAGTCATAAAAGACTGCTTAGTAACTCTACAACTGTATTCCTCCTGCATCTGGTACCATCATCTCCTATGAATCCATTCCCGACCTCTTGGTTCTGAGACCTGCCTAATTTATCAGGAAAGAGATTTCAGGAAATACAGATCTTTGCCTGGAACACTAAAGATCAAGTCAATTTGATTTGACTTTGGTTCCATAGTTCTAATACCCAGGCCTCTGCTTTGTTCTTAGATATTGAACATCTGTTTATAATAAATTCTTATTTCCAGTTGCTTAAGTTCTTACTTTAATTCCTTCCCAGTTTCCCAGCTCCTAAAAGACAGGGCCCATGTATTTTCCTTTCCAATTGCCTTTCTCTTCTTGTCCAGGATCTTTAACTAATACATTTCTCTCTGCTGTCTCATCTTCTCTTTCTTTATTCCCATACAATTTTGTTCATTTTACTGTTACAGAACTTATCACTATCTTCTATCAGGGAATATACTCTACTAATTGTATATTCTTAGAGATGATGACACAGATTCTAACATATAGAAAGTTTTCAATAAACTTTTTCAAATGAATGTGTCACCCTAGCTCTATGTTCCCTAATTATAGAAGGAAGCACAGTCAAATCCACCACAAAACCATCTTACTTACTCTTGGCTAAGCACACTCAAGGGATCCTTAGAATGTCCAAGTAGTCTTTGAATTCAGCTTCAAATGTTATATTCCAACACACACATAGTCCACAGGGTAATGGATGAATGACTGGTTTCTCTCACTCATTCTACTTTTTCTCATGTTTTTGTCCTGGGGCTTCAATTCTTAGTTACATACTCTCTTTATCCCACTCTTTCTTTCTGCCAGTCCCTAGAAAAGTCAGTCTTCTCTCCTGTGTTGTTAGTCATGATTAGTCACTTCTAATTCTGTTATTGAATACAAGAGTAGGATCTTGAAAGTAAAATAGGGAGGAGTAGAAGCTCCCAGGATGGCATTATCTTGAAGTAGAGAATCTGAAAAACCAGTGTTCTTTTATTATTGCAAAAGATGATTTTTATTAATTTTTAAATTTATTCTAGAATATTTATAAATTCACTATGTTGATCAATAAAAGAGCTGGTAATACAGCATTTATAAATTTATGTTCCCCTAAGAAGTTATTCTCTTGTGTCCTCTTATGTTAAAAGAATGACTCCTAGTCCATCCTGGGCTACATTACAAAAGACCCTCTTCATAATCTTGGTCTCTGTATTGTAGGTTTTCCTTTATTAATCTAGCCATTGTAGGTGCCATGATATGTATAAAAAAAGAAGAGCTGAGTAAGGGTGACATAGGTGTTTGGATTTGCTGGGGTAACCACTGATCATCTTGTCTATTCTGAAGTAGTCAAAAAGAAAGCTGCAGGGGACAGAGGTTTCTGAGAGGTGGCCAGAGAGGCAATGTCCTCTATCTAGCCATGCTTCAAACCCCAGAGCCTGACTGGATTTCCAAACTTCCCATTGGTGTGAATTAATACATAATCCACTTTTCTTTCCAAGGTAACATGAGTTGGTCTTCTACTACTGGCAATCTAATGAGCTAAATTTGATGTTGTAAACACAAATCAAATCATTTACAATGTTATTCTATCTGAGACCAGGAAATTGCCTTGCTTTAGATAAAAGCTTAATATAGGAGACAGGAAGACAGGAATTTACATCTGAACTGATAAGATAAAGGCATCAACATAGCAACAAGGTGAATAGGAAAATATTTTTTCAAGAGACCCAAACCACAACCACAAAAAGATATATTTCTATATATACTATTCTGGTGACTTACTCATTTCACAGATAAATGGAAGAATGAATTTCATTTACCAGGGCAGACTGGAAGGGGAAGGATCTTTTAGAGCTAGCTATTCAGACTTCAGTGGGCAGTGAGGTAGAGAAATACAAGGAAAAGGAAATGTGGACCCAGTTGGATACTGGTAAGAAATTCCAGTCTATTAAATATAATAATAATGGTGGCCATTTTTATTGGCTATTATGGCTTTTAATGCCTTCTATGTGCTAGGCATGCCTCGTGCCTTATTTTCATTCCTTGTAACAAGTCTACAAGTACTAATAACTTTTTTACAAGAAGGAAACTTTAAGCTCAAAAAGTTGGTGAAAACCACAGAGTTAAAGGGGAAGGGTAGAGTTTGTACTCAAATCATCTGAATTCCAAAACAGGTTTATTTTTCCCCACTACGCTAATCTAGCCACTTGAAACAGGGAGACCAAGGCAAGCAGTGATTGGCAATACGTTGACTTCCTGGATTTCTGGCAGAAGACACCAATATGGGCAAGGAAATTATTGAAATGTCAATCCTACTTTGGATATTTCCCTGGATTAAAAGAATAGGTATACTAAAAGGCAAATTGTATAGTTTCATAGTTTATGGAATAAGCCATGGAGCTAGTTTTCCTGGGTTCAAATTACAGCTTCTCCACTTGCTAGTTTTGACATCTTGCCTAAGCTATTTAACCTCTTTGTTCACCATTTTAAAAATGGGCCTATTAATAATATAGACCTCTTAGAGCTGTTACGAGAATCACATGTGTTAATGTTTTTAAAGCTCTTAGAAGAGCAATGAACATATAGTAAGGATTACATAACCCTTTATCAAATAAATAAGTGCCAGAAGGTATAAGTGTTGTAGCTTAACTTTAGTATTGTGTATTTTTAGCTTTGAATTGTTTCCTTTAGGCCAGCATTTCTCAGGTTTGACACGATTTTCATTTTGGGCCATACTGTACTTCATGATGAAGGCTGTACTGTACACTGTAGGATGTTTAGCAGCACCCCTGGTCTCTACCCACTAGATGTCAGTAGCACCTCCCCAGTTGTGACAACTAAAAATGTCTCCAGACAAAGCCAAATTTCCGCTCGGGTTGGGGCAAAATTGTACCCCTTCTGCTTATAAAGCTTGGATTTATGTGCAATTATTATTTGCTTCAAACTTATAAAGTGGAGCTAATTGCTTCATGTCACTACTACCACAGACATTTCAAAATCAAAATAAGAAATGTGTTAGCAAAGTTCTTGGAAGAATGAGATGTCATCAGCTTGCTCTCAAGTCTACTCGTTTTCATTCACTCATTTCTAAATACTGTATTTCTCTATTCCATGTACTCTGGCTTTTCTGTTTCTTTGTGTATTTCCCCTCTGTGCCCTTCTCTGTGTAGCAACGCCGCATGGCTACCAGCAGGTGGTATCCATGAATAATGTGATCTACATCTTTTCCCTGGCAAGCGTCATCAGATCACCTCTCCCACGCTGCTGTGTCGTGGCTTAGATGCTGAGAGTTCTATAGAAATAATCGGCATCTTTCCCTTACTTAGGAGAAACAAAAAGTTTTCAAATAGAATTTTGCCTTCGTAATTCTGAGGGCTTCCTCCAACACTTTGTATCTAGCAGCAGATATTATATATAACTCCACATGAGTCCAATGGCATTACTTGTAAGCAGACGATTAGAGTCATTTGCTTTGCTGAATATTCAGAATTCGGCTACATTGAGTACCCAGATTATATTATTTCACTCATCTTAGCTGACTACCAATGACTACATCCCACAATTCCATGTGTCAATGTGGAAACTGGCTTAGAGATAATAAAAGACACCTGAATAATACATTTGCCTACTGCATTTTAAATGCCCACAAATGCAGAGTCTTCCCATTAGTATATCACAGTTATGCTTTTGATGGGTTCCAACTCTAGTAATGAATCATAATCATATGAAAATAAATCAACATTTCATATGCCACATGGTATTTAAAGGCATCCATTCATTATTTCACATTTCAGGAAGATGTATATTAGATAATAATATTATAATTTATAAAATTTCAACAAATTTCAATATATTACAATCTTGTCTCTTCTCATGCAGCAATCTGAGTTTACCAGTTTTCCTTCTCTGGATTTTACATTCTGACTTTTAATTTGGCATAGGGGGAGCCCTAGCCCCACTATTGTTTTGTCAAAATATTGAAAACAGCTCTTTGGAAAATGGGTACAGGAAATCTTCAGAAATAATGTAGTCATTTCTGAGCCCCTTTCCAGGAAGTAAAGTTGAGAACTGATAACCAAAGCAAAGTTGAAGGGTAGAATTCTAAATTAGTTTAATTCATCTGATACATTGGAAGCCTTTTGCTGTTTCACTTTCCCTGGGCCACTTCTATACTGGCTATAGAATTAGGTACAGCCAATCCTTTCCTGGAGCGTCACAATCCATATCTGGCCTTGTAGACCAATCAATATTGTAGTGATCTGTATTGATCTTTAAGAGAGTTAGCATGACTGGTTCCACCGTTTGATCAATTCTTGGGTATAGATCCAGTCTAAAAGTTCTGGTCCTCATGAAAATTTGATCAAACAAATTACCCCAAATAGAACTTTGACAGCTTAGTAATAGATTATCCTAAATCAGTAAAATAAGGTGAGGCTTTATTACTCAATATGTAACAGATAATTTTAGATACATTTCTATTGAAGAATTATTATTAGTAGAAGTTGGGAAGATATATTTGCATAACATTTCACCTTTTTTTACATTATGAAAAATTTGTGCTGCATTCATCTATTATCTATCTATCTATCTATCTATCTATCTATCTATCTATCTATCTATCTATCTATCTATCACCACATACATTCTTCCCTCAGGTTTGTCGATCATAACATTTTGTCATATTGCTTTGATCCTTGTTATTTTTCAGAAGAAATCATTGCTGGAAATCCCTACATGTATCATCCTGATCACATTTCTATTTATCCTTTTTCAATCATTCTCCAGAATTTGGTATTTAGCTTGCCATGAAAGTTTTTATCCTGTCTGTTTTATAATAAATGGTCTCATACTCATTGTTTCCTTCAAGTTGATTTTCATTTAATTTAAATTTTGTGAGATATATCTATGTTGATACAGCTATTATATAGATGAGAGTAGTGGAAATTATTTATCCATCCTTCAGTTGAAGAGCATTTAGGTTGTTTACAATCTGTTTCTATTACAAACAGTGCTGCAATGAACATTTGTGTACATGTCTTCTTGTGCAATGTGTGAAAGAGTCCCTAACAGTAGATAAAAAAAGTGTCTTCAAATTTATCAGATATCCCCAAGTCATTCTTCAATTTACACTTCCTCTATTCATTTATAAGACAGTTTGTATTATTCCACAATGTCATCGACACTTAGTATTATTCAACTTTATTTTATTTGCCAGTCTAGGAGAATGAGATGGTATTTTATTGTGGTTTAATTTACATTTATATTATTACCAGTGTGTTCCCCTATGCTTATTTGCTATTGGGTTTTACTTTTTAAAAATTTTTGTTGCTATTATTTGCTAATTTTTAATCTTTGGTTGCACAACCTTGTTTCTTTGATTTGAAGAATATTTCTCCCCCAACCTTAACCACCCTAATCCTCCAATATTACCTTGTTATTTCTGATATCAAAGTTATTTTATTTGTGTGTGCTTTGTTGTATGTTTTTTTAAACAAGTGTATTTAAAATGTATTTTTCTTACATGAAAACAGCTTTATTTTATTCAGCATTAAATAAATAATACACCTCTCCATTAAAATAGTTTAATGATACATAAACATATATTAAAATTAAGATCACCTGTAATTTCACTATTCCTAAATAACTGCCACTAACATTTCACTGCATCTTTCAGTGCAATTCTTGGGCATTCACCCACTCATATACACATATTAATAATTTTACATATAATTGTATCATAGACAATTTTCCCTCTTCTCCTACTTCTTCATCACTTCCATTTCTGTCTTCTGTCACTCCAGGTAAGGCATGTTAATAACCTCAAATGTGTTTAAATATTTGACTCTGTACTAAATATAATTCCATATGCCCTTTTTCATTAACTTTTATTAATTCTTTTACTATATTAAATTATTATATATGTTATATGCTAATTATTTTGTTATATTTTATTTTTATTTATATTATTGAATTATATCTACAGTAAATGCATCCATTTTAAAAGTAGAGTTGATGAGTTTTGACCAATATAAAAATACTGTGTAACAATTACCAAAATTATAATATAGAACATTTCCTTTACCCCAAATATTTCCTGTGTCTCCTTTCAGCCATTCTGCTAGTGAGTAGAAGTATCTTATTTTAGTATTAATTTGCAAACTCCTGATGAATAATGATATTGAACATATTTTATGTACTTCTTAGATAGTTATATGTTTTCCTTTCTAAAGTGTCAGTTTAAATCTTTTGTCCAATTTTATTTTGTTTTATTTTAATTTTTTTTCATTTTTAACTTTTGTGGGTACTTAACACGTATATATATTTATGGGGTATATGGGATATTTAGGTAACAGGTATACAATGTGTAAGAATCACACCAAGGTAAACTGGGCATCCAGTTTGCTTTCTTACTATTGAGTTTAAGTAATTCTTTATATCTTCTGGATTCAAGTTCTTGTTCAATATATGTATTGAGAATGTTTTCTTCTAGTCTGTGGCTTGCCTCTTCATTTTCTTAATGGTGTCTTTCAGGAGCAGAAGTTAATTTTGGTTAAGTCCAGTTTGTCATTTTTCTTTGTGGTTTGTGCTTTTCATAGTCTGCCTACAAATTCTTTATCCATCCCAAGGCCATGAACATTTTTTCTTTGTTTTCTTCTAAAAGTATTTTAGTATTAGCCTTTACATTTAGGTTAATTAACAATTTTAAATTAACCTCTTGAGTGTAGTGTGAGTTAAAAGTTGAGGTTTATGTTTAATATAGAGAAACATTATAATTTATTGAATAATTATTAAATTATTCATTTAATTTTCTTTGTCTTTTTGTAAGAAATTAACTAAGTTCTTGTTGAAAGGCTCTGAAGAAAAATCTGCTTCAGATTTCTTTCAGGTTGTTAGAAAAATTTTGTTCCTTACATTTGTAAGGTTGAGATCCTTGTTTCCTTGCTGACTATCAGTGTGCGGATGGTTTCAGCAATTAGAAGCTACACTCATTTCTTTATACATAGTCCCCTCAATCTTCAAGCTAGCAATAACATGTCAAATTCTTCTTATATCCTAGAAATCTGATTGCATCTATGACCAGCTGGGGAAAATTCTCTACTTTTAAAGGCTCATGCAATTTGGTAAGACCCACCTGGATTATCTTCTTATCTTAAGGTCAACTCTGCCTACAACATATCCTAACCACTGAAATAAAATATATCATTTTAAAGGTCCCAGGAATGATGCAGGGTGTGCATGAGGGGTATGGTAATTCTTGGGGGCTATCTTAGAATTCTTCCTACCACAGTCTGCTATTTGGCCCTCAAAGGTTCAAGTCCCTGCCAAATGGACATCCCATTCTCTCCCTCTCAAGCATTTCCAGGGTCTTATGTACCACATTACAGTATTGGCTCAAATGCAGGTTCTTATTTAAATCTCATTAGCTCAGAGTTTGGACTCTCAACATGTAAATCATCAAAATCACATACAGAGAATGTTCCTGGGTATAATTCATTAAGTGCAACTCCTAGGGCACAAGTACTGTTTACCTATGGATCTGTGAAACTAAAGAGACGATTTACATGACCTCAGTACTTCCTACACACAAGGGCAGAACAAGCATTGGCTAATAGTTATAGGCATTCCAATTCAAAAAAGGTAAAAATGGGTGGTAAAAAGGAATAACTGGTCCAAAGCAATTCTGAAATTTAGCCAGGGTGAATCTAACCTGAATTGCTTGATTAGGTTTCAAAGCTTGAGGATAATCTTTTATGGCTCTTTTCTCTGTCCCTGAGCTCTCATTTGAGCCCTGATAGGTCTTGGCTATGATCTTTCTGCTCTTGGTTTCATTCTCCTTTAGTCATGTTTCCTTTTCTTTTTTCATGAAAGATAATATGTGCATACACTTGAGTAATTTTATCAACATGCTTCCTTTCAAAAGTATAATGTACATCTAGCAACCTTCTTTGTCATGTTGTATTCTCTCTGATCCTTTTAATCCAAGCTAACTGTGATGGTTAATATTGAGTGTCAACTTGATTGGATTGAAGGAGGCAAAGTATCGTTCCTGAGTGTTGCCAAAGGAGATTAACATTTGAGTCAGTGGACTGGGAGAGGCAGACCCACTCTCAATCTGGGTGGGCACCATCTAATGTGCTGCCAGCACAGCTAGAATAAAGCAGCAGAAGTTGGAAAGAACAGACTTGCTGAGTCTTCTGGCTTTCATCTTTCTCCCATGCTGGATGCTTCCTGCCCTCAAACATCAGACTCCAGGTTCTTCAGCTTTTGGACTCTTAGACTTCCACCAGTGGTTTGCCAGAGGCTCTTGGGTCTTTGGCCACTGACTGAAGGCTGCACTGTTGGCTTCCCTACTTTTGAGGTTTCGAGTCTCGGACTGGTTTTCTTGTTCCTCAGCTTGCAGACTGTCTACTGTGAGACTTCACCTTGTGATTGTGTGAGTCAATACTCCTTAATAAACTCCCCTTCATATAATCATCTATCCTATTAGTTCTGTCCCTCTAGAGACCCCTGACTAATACACTGGCTGTGTGTCTGATGGTATATTTTCTCAAGAACCTTTATATCTCATATTTATTTTTCACATGTGTATTTTTGAGTAATATTGTTCTTTAGTTCTCTTTTACTGTGATGTGTTTGCCTGTTTTTTGGTATCACAACAAGGCCAGCCTCATAAAATAAGTTGATACTTGTTTCTGGTAGATTGTATGCAAAATTGGTTTTTCTTTCTTAAGTATATTCTATAATTAACCAATGAAGCTATTCGGGTCTGAAGGATTTTTGTAAGAAGATTTTCAAGTATGGATCTATTCTCTTATAGGTAGAGATTTATTCAGGTTATGCAGTATTTTTTAGTGAGCTTTGGTAATTTGGGTCTTTCAATGGATTTGTTAATTTAATCTAAGTTTTATAAATTATGGCATTAAGCTGTTTACAATTTCTGTAAGATCTGTAATGATTTTTATTTTGCATGCCTTGTACTGATAATTCATGTTTTTTTTTTTGACCAGTCTTACTAAAGATTTTTTATTTTATTGGTCTTTTAAAAAAACAGACTTTAGTTTCATAGATTTACATTTGTTAGTTTTTGGATTCCATTTTCATTGATTTCTGCCTTTATATGTAGTATTTCCTTCTTTCTGTTTGCTTTGAGTGTAATTAGCTGTTCTTTTTCTAGTTTCTAATGGAGACAATTAGATCATTGATTTTAGAGATTCTTTTTCTATATTAGCACTTAAAAACTAAAATTTCCTTCTAAATTTTGCTTTAATTGTATACAGAAAACGTTGATGTCTTTTGCTTATTATCATTAGTTCAAAATATTTTCTATATTTATTTGGTGATTTTTTTTTTATTTGGCCCATGACTTATTTAAATGTAAGTTGTTTAATTCCCAGATATATGGGTCTTTTCTAGACATATTATTTTTGCTATTTGTAATTAAATTCCCTTTTAAATTCCATAACATATTATGTAAAATTTCATTTCAAATTTTTAAGATTTATTTTCCATCCTATGTTCTATCTTCATGTACCTTTTATGATCACTTGAAAAACATATGCTTCTTCACTTGTTGAGTGTAGTGCTGATATAATTGGCAATTAGGTTAATGTAATTAATGTCAGTCCAATCGTCTATATCTTTACTTACATATATTTACACCTTTGCCATTTTTTACTGTTTTATATTTCTTTCTGTAGATTGAAATTTCCCTCTAGAGTGTTTTTTTTTCTTTAACATTTCTTGTAGTGCAGATCTTTGGACAATACAATTTCTCAGTTTTTGTTTATATAAAAATTTATTCATTTCACTTTTATCTTTGGAGTTTTCTTCACTGGATGTAGAATTCTTAGTTGACAACTTTTTTCTTTTAGCCTTATAAATACATCATTTCTTGTCTTCTGGTTTGCAGAGTTTCTGATAAGAAGTCATCTGTTATTTAATCATTGTTATTCTGTATATCACATGCCATTTTTCTCTAGCTGCTTTTCAGATTTTCTGTCTATCTTTGACTTTCAGCAATTTTAGTATGATGTGTCTAGAAGAGTTATTTTTTATTTTTATCTTGCTTGGAGTTTGTTGATGTTCTTGGATCTGGCACTCAGCCAAGAAGAGCATCCAACTCACAGATCTGGTTCCATATTACTCTATCTTGCAAGAGTAGATTTCCTCGTGGTCTCTGTTAGCCTTTCCTTTTTGTTCACTCGGATCTCCCTCATACATTTATCATGTAGTTGTCAGCAGTGAGTTGAGCTGTTCATACTCTGAATTTTGGTCACTCTTTTTTTTTTTTCTTTTGTTTCTTGCACTGCCACAACTTCTCCCTTATATTCCCAGCTTTTTTCTCAGATCTGAACTCTAATTTTTGGAACTTTTACATGGTAGGGCTGTGGATGTTTTTCCCACTGCCATTTTTCATAGTTCTAGCCACTGGCACTGGGCAATGTCTTTAGATCAGCTATTTCCAAACTCAGAATTTCTATGTCTTCCAGTTACAGGTTTTTTAGATTAAATGTTCCCCCAGCTTCTGTCTACTTTTGGAGATTTTCCAATGTCTTTAAATATTTTTTCAATTATACAATTGTTATCATTGTTAACTGTGGGAAATTAGTGTGCAACGAAAATTATCCTTTATAGGTACTGGAAGTTAGGTCTCGACTTTTCTAAACTTGCTTTTTGTACCCCCAAATTATTAAATATTTTTCTTATTATTTTATATAATCGTTTTTGTTCTTACCTCCTTAGAATTTACATCTGTTTTTTTCTGAGTTGTATCTTCTAGTAGTTCTTTCAGTGAGGATTTATTATTATTACAATCTCTTACTTTTTTTCTTAAAATGTTACTATTTTGTTGTCACATTGAATGGTAAAGTTAGGTCAATATAGGATTTTAGGTTGACTGTTATTTTCTTCAGGTAGTATAGCTCTGGTTGCTTTTAAGTTCTCTTCTTTAGCATTCTGTATAATGTGCTCTTTTTTTTTACTATATTGTAATATTTACTATATTATAGATTTACTATATTGTAGATTAATTATAATTTATTCTGTTCAGAACCTGTTCATGATTTCTGAAGCTGATTCTGAGTACTCGTGGTTTTTATAAATTCTGGAAATTCTAAGTTATTCTTTTCAAGTATTTTTTCTTCACATCTTTGTCTCTCCGGAATGCCTATTAACTTACAATGGTTTTTAAAATATATTCTATATTTCTTAATTCTTCTTTTCTATTTTTGTGACTAATTTAATATTTAGCTTCCAATTTAATAACTCTTATTTCAGTTGTATGTATTGGTGGTTTAACTTTACATTATATTTTTAACTTTTGTTACTTTTTTTCTCTTTCCCTGTTTCAATTTCTATTTTCTACCTTTAGTATACCTTAAATATTTATTTTTGTAATCTCAACTAAACTGTTACAATGTCTGATGGACTAGGTAGCGAGGATCTTATCTCAATGTTTTTGTGACACATGACTTGTGTATTCAGGGCCCTCATTTCTAATGTCCATTTTTGCATGGTGCAAAAGCCTTATCCCTCATGAGTTATTGAACCACAAGCCTCTTGGTAACAAAATGCAGCATCGGTCCTTTTTGTAAAAGAATATGAGTAATCTTAAAGAGACGCAAAGTAGGACTTTCCTTGTTTTAACCACACATACAATCAAGGATAAATATAATATACATATAGTACATGTTTTACATTATATTACTGGTAGTGACAGATGCTTTGATCAAATCTATACTAAATAGTCATACTTAAGTGATTATTACTTTTAATCAGAGTTTAACAGAAGCAAATGACAATCTCATTGATAGCCAGAGCAAAAGAAAGGAAACTAACTCCTCATCTAAGACTTTAGGAAATGAAGCCAAGTAATTATTGTGGGAATAAGGATGAAGTGCCTGTCCTGTATTGTCCAATAGTTCTTCTTCTGTATAATTATTCTGACCTAGAATGATCAATGAGCTACAAGCACAAATACTTATTGAAGAAAACAAGTTTTAATTTGCTTGTTTTTTATTTGGGCTCCCAGTCTTGGAAAGGAAAATATTTCAATTTGTATTTTTAAGTTTCAAATCGAACTTATCTGTATATAAATTACAATCAATATAGGCTTTATATTCTTTATAATTTGTCTTTTCTGTACAATCAACATCAAAACTTGCCTTTAACTTATTCAATAAATCACCAATTAAAATTTTCATATATGTATTAGAAAAAAAATGCACTGTAAAAAATCTTTTTAATGAGATTTCCTTTAATTTAATGGATTGGATAAAGCAATGTACTAAGATTTAAGATACCTGGGTCATACTTTCAGTTATATTGCTTGGTAACCCTTATTTTAACTTCTCTGGTTTTGATTTCTCATGCAAAGAGAAGAATCACTAATATAAATAGAAAATCGCTAGCATCTCCACTAATTTTAACATTGTATTGGACACCTACTCAGACCTACTGATTGTAAAACACTTACCATTTTTCTCAGCTCCAGTCTAGCTCCCCACACACTTTCTAATTCTTTCTCAATGCCCCGGAGACCCAAACTGTGCTTATTCTTTTTCTGAGCTGTGGGCCACTTCGCCCAGTGACTCTCAAATTATGTACTTCAAACCTTTGAGAACCCATGGAGTTGTTGCAGTTATAAAGACACTGTAAGTTCTTATATATATCAAATATTTTCTGGAGACTAAAAGTGATTCATATGTATGGACTTCACTTTTTCAAATATATGTTAATGCTCCTGTGATCAGCAAAATTAAAATAATTAATTTTTAATGTTTTTAAGTTCAGAAAAGATTTTGTCATTCTGAGTTTTCCAATCAATGTACAATTAAAGTCTAACTACTCTTAAATAGAAATACCTGGAAATTTCGACTTTTGATAATATTAGGAATAACTAACCTTAAGCTGTTTACTTCCATTTCTTTCATTTCAGTATAAGATCCCTTTGAAAATAAATCCAGATATCAAGTTTTAGCAAGGCTTCTTGGAAAATTACTATAGGAAAAAATAGAGTAACAATTTGATACCAGCTCTGCCCTATGGGGCACCTATGCTATGGCATATTATATGTACTTTTGATAACATATATTTAACTTTCAGTAATATATTTTAATTGATTACATGTTTATCCCATCTACTGGATTATGGATTACTTGAGGATTGTAACAATTGCTTACTCAGCATTGACTTATCTTATGGTGTCTACTCTCATGCTGCATAGATAATAGAATCTTAGTAAAAATTATTTGAATTGAATCAAATGTTTCTGTAATTCTACCAGGTGCACGAGAGGCTGCCAATAGATCTGAAAGAGTGGTAAGATCTTTGTTACTGAGAAAGTGGAAGTGAACAAGATAAGATTTCTGATTAGAGTATCATTCAAATAAAAATACTGAGCTATCTCAAAGACCATCCTGATACTCATGAAAGTCGACAGACCCTGAGTAGACTAATCTTATTCCCTAGAATTTGCAAGGTCCAGGGACCAGATGAGAGTGGAGTTGAATCTCCCCTAGGGAACATTAGGCATCAGAAATTTGTTACATTTTTCAATACTTTATAGTTTTCAGAATGCTTTACCTTATATATTTTGGTTAGGTGTTGATTTTATATGAAACCAAACCTCTATTGTATTCATATTTCTTGGCTAGGCTGATATCTAAGAAATTAAGAGTGGAAGAATTTCAGATTACTGGGGTCTTTGATGATGACAGTATCCTAGGAAAAAGCTTTAAATGTAATTCCAAAAACAGTGTATAATGAGATACCTATTGAACGACTGAGTGATAGCTTAATGAAAATCAAGGTGATTGAGTTAAAGTTTTGTCAGATATCCAGAATGTTGCTGAAATCTATTCCTCTTCTTCCAGAACACTTGCCTACTTTGCATAGCATGGTCTATTTTATAGCTTTATTAATGGTCTTTCCACCTTTTTCTGAATATTCTTTTACCAACTCTATCCCCCATATTGTTGCTAGTCATCCTTTTAAACACTGATCATGTCTGTCACCTGTTTGGAAACCTCCGATGGTTCCCCCTCCATGGAGAACAAAGTGCGATCTTGTTAGCACGGCCTAGAGACATTCAGTTAGAATTTCTCGGATAAATAATGTCAGATAATTTTTCTGGGTTGCCCAATTAAGGTCTTCCTACATTAAATGGGAGAGACAGACAATATCTTCAGTTGAATGGCACCTGGCTTTACTAGTACCCTTTTGAGCAGCTGCCACTTAAGCTCAGACTTTTTGACACTAAAGCAGTTTATTTAAGCCCATAACCCTATGAAGACTAGCTCAAGGTTGCTCCATAAAAAATGAAAGTCATTTTGAAAGTAAGCAGGGAGGGGGTGGTGTGGTTTCTCTGCTGAAGCACAGCCACATGGCGTGTCTGGCTATATCCTCTCCCCAGGGATGCCATAGGATGCTGGAAGACAGGAAATTCTTAAAGTCATTGCCTTCCTGCCCATGAGTTTCAGCCTGTACCAAACCCTTTGCAGTATTTCAGGAAAATAAGATTCTTCACCATATACTTTATATCTGGCTTTCTAGCCTCCCAATTTTCATGCTTTGTTCCATTGTATCCCAAGCTTTTTGCTATTCCTCCCATCCTCTGCACATCTATACCTTCATGACTTCTCTTGACAATATCTTCTCTAGCTCATATGCTAAATAGTTATATCCTCATTGGTCATCATAATAATTAGATAGAACAGTTCTGTAGAGCTTTTAGCTATCTGCAACACAACCGTCCCGTTTCAATTCATTTTTCTCCCAAGGAAGCAAACTTCCTCCTCTAAAAAGCTATATTTGTAGCATACCAGTTTGTTAGTGGTTCAACCAATAAAAATATGAAAACATAATTTACTTACACTGACATGGACAACTGTGTCAGTGGGAGAAGAAATAGGTCTTTAGTATAACAGAGTTCTAAATATGCATATTAGAATTTGCATATTTATACCAAACTCCAACCCTTTCTTTGTTTGATTTACTATTATTATTATTCCACCAGGGTTTGATTCAATTTTCACTGGGTTGTCTATACAAACTGTCCCCCAAGGTGACCTCCAGAATTGTCAATTTAGATGCTGAAATTAGATGCTTAAATAATTCAGATAATTGAACTATTATGTCATTATAAAAGTAGCCTAATATGTGAGTATTTGGGGCCATTTTATTTGGGTGATATATCATTCTTCCTTACTGATAACATTTATGCTAAATGATTATCTTCTAACTATGTGTAAATTGTATTACGCTTCTTTGATCAAAATTATACAAATACTCAGATGTTTACTTTCCATTGTGTCCAATATATACACTAACAAAACAGTCAGAGAATATGTTCAGTATTAGGATGGGGTGTGGGATGATTGCTTGGGCTGAAGCATGAATTAACTGTAGTAGGGGATAAGAATAAGCATGGAGACTGTGGTAGGCAGAATTTTAAGATGGCCCCCAACACTTCTTTTCTCAGGTGTACACACACCTTTGCACAGTTGTTCAATCAAATATTAATCTAGGTCTCCTGTGAAAATAATTTGCAGATGAGATTAAGGTGGCAAATCTGTTAATGTAAACATAGGCAGATAATTTATGTGGATCCGACTTGACCTAATCACATGAGCCACTTAAGAGTAGAGAATTTTCTTTTCTTTTTTTTTAAATTATACTTTAAGTTCTGGGATACATGTGCAGAACTTGCAGGTTTGTTACATAGGTATATATGTGCCATGGTGGTTTGCTGCACCCATCAACCTGTCATCTACGTTAGGTATTTCTCCTAATGCTATCCCTCCCCTTGCCCTCCACCCACTGACAAGCCCCAGTGTGTGATGTTCCCATCCCTGTGCCCATATGTTCTCATTGTTGAACTCCCACTTTAGCAGATCACAGAAGAGGAGGTCAGAAATCTGAAGCACAAGAAGGATTTGTTGCACCAATGATGACTTGAGTGAGGGGAGATACATGGAAAGGAATGCGGGCAGCCTTTGGGAGCTGAGAGCAATTCCTGGCTGGCAGACAGCAAGGAAATGGGGATCTCAGTCCTACAGCTGCAAGAAACTTAATTTGTCCAACAGCAGGGATGACCTTACAAATGAATTTTTCTTCAGAGCCTACTGATAAGAACTCAGTTTATGTGAAAACTTGGTTTTAGCTTTGTGATGCCCTGAGTAGAGAATCTAGCTATGCCATGCTCCATGCAAGACTTTTAACTTTCAGAACTGTGAGATAATACACTGGTGTTGTTTTAAGCCACTAAGTTTGTGGCAATTTGTTACTTGGTAGTAGAAAACTAATACAGAGGACACTGCAGTTATTGGAATGAGGGACAATGGCAGCTTGGACTATGGCTATGGATATGGAAATAGAAAAAAAACAGAACTGAGATATTCAGGGATAAAATTGATATGACTATGTGACAGATGGGGGGATAAAGGAGATAGATTAGTTAAAACATGTGTCTGGTTTTTCACCATGCATAGTTTTTCACATCAGAAGACTACTGTGCTAAGTGAATTATTGGGTAGTGGTAAGAGTTGGAGAATATTAATTGGGTTTAGATACGTAGAGATTGAAGTGCCTTGAGACACTTAACAGGAGCCATCAATTGGCAGTTGGATATGAGTCATTGGTATTATAAATCAAAAAATATCTGGGAGAAGTCTCAATTAATTTAGAAGTTTATTTCACCAAGGTTAGGGACCTGCCTGTGACACAGCCTCAGGAGGTCCTGAGAATGTGTCCCCAAGGTGGCTGGACTACAGCTTGGTTTTATATGTTTTAGGGAGACAGAAGACATCAGTCAATACGTGTAAGATGGACACTGATTCAGTCCATAAAGGCAGGACAACTTGAAGTGGAAAACTTCCAGGTAGTAGGTGGATTCAAAGATTTCCTTATTGGCAATTGGTTGAAAGAGTTTATAGGAAGACCTGAAATCAATAGGAGGTAATGTTTGAGTTGAGATAAGGGGTTGTGGGGACCAAGGTTTTTATTATGCAGATGAGTCCTCCAGGTTGCAGGCTTGAGAGAATACATTGTAAATGTTCTTATCAGACTTTAAAATGTGCCAGACTCTTAGTTAATTCTCTCCTGGATCAGGAGATACAGCTTTGAAGGCCATTTCCATTTAGGGCCTGCTATCTGTCATGTTGGTATCTTATTGCTGTAAAGAGTCTGCTTTGTCAGCCTTAAAGTCTGTTTTAATGTTAAATGATGGCCAGTATGCCTGAATTCCAAAGGGAATAGAGTATAAGAAGGCATGTCTGACCTTCTCTTCCCATCATGGCCTGAACTAGTTTTTCAGGTTAACTTAGGAATGCCCTTGGCTGAGAGGAGGGGCCTGTTCAATTGGTTGGGGAGCTTAGAATTTTATTTTTATTTTATAGCATGCTGGTGATAATTGAAGTCCTTGGCATAGATGACATCACTGATGAAGGATGTGGCATGAGAAGAGAACAGAACTTTAAGATTCTTAATATTTAGTAGCCAGGTGGAGGCAAATAAGCCCATAAGAGAAACAAGCAATTAGTGTGTAAGTAAAAACTGTGTTGTGTCATGGAAGTCAAGAGAATAGTATTTCAAGAAAAAGAACATGGGCAATGTAACAGGTGCTCCTGAGATGTCAAGTAAGAAATATTTTGGCAGGGGGGTTAGTAAAATGGTGTTTACTGGTTACCTTAGTAAAAGTCGTTTCCATGAAGGGATGTGGACAGAAACCAGACTGGAATGAGATAAAGAGTGAAGGTGAGGAAATGAAAACAAAATACTTAAGTACAGACAACTCTAAAGAAGTTTGCTTATAAAGAGGAGAAGACCAGGAAGTAGCTGGAGATGTATATTAGTCTGTTCTCATACTGCTGTAAAGAACTGCCTGAAACTGGGTAATTCATAAAGGAAAGAGGTTTAATTGACACACAGTTCAGCATGGCTGGGGAGGCCTCAGGAAACTTATAATCATGGTGAAAGGCACCTCTTTGCAGGGCAGCAGGAGAGAGAATTAGTGCCAAGTGAAGGGGGAAAGCCCTTATAAAACCATCACATCTTGTGAGTACTCACTCACTATCATGAGAACAGTCTGGTGGAAACTGCCTTTATGATTCAATTATCTCCCACCAGGTTCCTCTCATGACACATGGGGATTATGGGAACTACAATTCAAGATGAGATTTGGGTGCGGACACAGAGCCAAACCATATCAAAGTGGTTTTTTTATTTTATTTTCTGTGGGAGACAACATATTTAAAAGCCAACTAGAAGGAATCAGTTCAGAAGTTGTTAAATATACAAGAGAGGAGGAGGAAGAAATAACAAAGTTTTCTGAGAAGGTGAAGGAGATAAGATCCAAAGTACACATAGAGATTTAAGTTCCTTTAGTATAACAGGAACAAAAGGACATTGATGGGTATACCTATCTTGTACAAATAGGTTTACATATTAGGAAAAAATGAAATTAATAGAGGTCCAGTCTGATGGCTTCTTTTTCTTCCAAAACTTGTTTGAAAAGCACTGTCACCTGTTAAGAGTATGGGGAGGAGAGTGGGCATTATAAATGTGAAGAGGGGTGGATAAAGTCTGAAATAGTCCTTGTGGAAAATGGGGGACTCAACTGAATTGACCTAGACAGGCTATGAGGAAGCCTAAATGTCATAACATTAATGAAGATTTTCTTGTCATCTTTCCAGCAGCTGTCAGCCTTTACCTTCTCCCACTCTGAGGTAGAACTAATCTTTAATGTCTTCTTCCCTTGAAATACCACAGCACATTTTTCATATCATGATAGAGATCATCTCGCTGTATTAAACCATCTGTTAGCATGTCTTGTTCGTAATGATAGACTATGAAATGAACAAGACCATTTCTGATGCCTTCATTTGTCTTTGTACTTCAATAGTTTAGCAAATAAAGAAAAAAATGTAATTATTAGGCAAAAATAATGATAAAAATAACAGTAACAATTTTTAAAAATAAAAGTTATTGACCATTTATTTGTGTCATTCACTTTGCTAAGTATATTTTTACTTTCTTATTTGTAATTTAATTTTGTCCATCCTAATTTGTTTATTTAATAGATTAGGAAACTAAAGCTTAAAGGGATGAAATATCTCCATGGTGACACTACTACTAACTGGAAACTTTTTTTGAACTGATGACACTACTACTAACTGGAAACTTTTTTTGCTCTGTGGCCTCATTCTTTCTTCAATAGAATAAGGAAGAAAATTTTGAAATATTGAGTAAAAACTTCTTCTGAAAGATGAAAGTTGTTTTGACCACTGTCTTCTCTCTGTAATACTAATTAAATATTTATTTAGCAAGATTCTCATCAGAATTCATCTTTCAGAAGAAGTTTTTACTCAATATTTCAAAATTTTCTTCCTTATTCTATTGAAGAAAGAATGAGGCCACAGAGCAAAATCAATTATTTATTTTGCATAGATGGAATTTATGTAGATAGCGCTATCATAAAGGTACTGCAAAAGGAAATTCATGTGCAAATATCCTCATCAACTGAATTAGAACTCAACATCATCATTGCTACATCATGCAAGAAGACTATACAGCAACTTAGTTTAGACAGGCATGAGTATCTGCTTAGTCTATTCATTAATAAAAAAGTCTATTCATTAATAAATAATCAACTTTGGTTTCAGGACATAAAATGATCCCAAAGTTGGCCAGATAAAAATAGGGTCACCTCAGAAAGCGGTTCTCAGATTAGTTTGAAAAGTGATTTAACACATTGCTGAAATGTAAGCGGGTATCCAATCCAAAAGAAATAACAAAACAGAAGCCTTTTTACTATCCCCCAGAGTATGGTTTTTTTAGGAAAACATGCAGAGAAAGAAAGGCAAGGATAATGTGCACAATTTAGAAATAAATGGAAATCCTTTATGTGTTAATCATTTCTGGAATACTTATGCAATCTGTGTTTTATGGTCCATTTTATATATTTCTTTAAGCTGTCCATTGATAGAAAAGAATACACAAAAGTCTGAAAAGTTAGAGAGCTTTAGTAATTACATTTTGTCACTTACTAACAACCAAGAAAGAGAAAAAAACTATAATGATATTTAGTAACCCATGAATGTGACTTTTCTAATTTCTAATATGATAAATTAGCACTCCTCAAATTTAGAATGAACTTACTGTAAATATCTGTCCATCTCTATGTCATTTATTTACCCCAAATATCTTACATATTGGAAATTTTTTAAAAATGTATTTTAAATATTTATATTTTAATCTAATCTGTGTTATATAATTTCAGATCTAAATGTCATAAAATTCATGATATATTTTTATATGTATGTATATTTGAATGAAACATTTAATAATATTTACATAAAAGCAAATTTCATATATATCATGTAACAACTATGAATTTTAGTTTAGCTTAAATTTCATTTTGGGGGAAAAACATAATACTGACATGTATGATTTTTGGTAGGGAACTAAATATATGTTCAAATGTAGATTAAAAGATAACTATAGTAGAAACTATGAAAATATATGAAAACTAGTTTTATAACCTATGTCAGGCCTCTGAGCCCAAGCTATGCCATCATATCCCCTGTGACCTGCACATACACATCCAGATGGTCGGTTCCTGCCTTAACTGATGACATTCCACCACAAAAGAAGTGAAAATGGCCGTTCCTGCCTTAACTGATGACATTGTCTTGTGAAATTCCTTCTCCTGGCTCATTCTGGCTCAAAAGCTCCCCTACTGAGCACCTTGTGACCCCCACTCTGCCCGCCAGAGAACAACCCCCCTTTAACTGTAATTTTCCTTTACCTACCCAAATCCTATAAAATGGCCCCACCCCTATGTCCCTTCGCTGACTCTCTTTTCGGACTCAGCCCACCTGCACCCAGGTGAAATAAACAGTTTTATTGCTGACTCAAAGCCTGTTTGGTGGTCTCTTCACACGAACGCGAGTGAAATTTGGTGCCGTGACTTGGATCGGGGGACCTCCCTTGGGAGATCAATCCCCTGTCCTCCTGCTCTTTGCTCCATGAGAAAGATCCACCTATGACCTCAGGTCCTCAGACCAACCAGCCAAGAAACATCTCCCCAATTTCAAATCCGGTAAGCAGCCTCTTTTTACTCTCTTCTCCAACCTCCCTCACTATCCTTCAACCTCTTTCTCCTTTCAATCTTGGAGCCACACTTCAATCTCTCCCTTCTTTTAATTTCAATTCCTTTCATTTTCTGGTAGAGACAAAGGAGACACGTTCTATCCGTGGACCCAAAACTCCGGCGCCGGTCACAGACTGGGAAGACAGACTTCCCTTGATGTTTAATCATTGCAGGGACACCTCTCTGATTATTTACCCACGTTTCAGAGGTGTCACACCATTCAGGGATGCCTGCCTCGGTCCTTCACCCTTAGCAGCAAGTCCTACTTTTCTGTGGGAGGGGCAAGTACCCCAACCCCTTCTCTCCATGTTTCTACCCCTTCTCCACCTTTCTAGGGGGCAAGGAACCCCCAACCCCTTCTCCTTCACCCTTAGCAGCAAGTCCCGCTTTTCTAGGGGAGGGGCAAGTACCCCAACCTCTTATATCTCTGTGCCCCAATCCCTTATTTCCATGCCCCGACCTCGTATCTCTGTGCCCTGACCCCTTTCCCACTTTTCTGGAGGGTAAGAACCCGTGAACCCCTTCCCTCCGTGTCTCTACTCTCTCTTTTCTCTGGGCTTGCCTCCTTCACTATGGGCAACCTTCCATCCTCCATTCCTCCTCCTTCTCCCTTAGCCTGTATTCTTAAGAACTTAAAACCTCTTCAACTCTCACCTGACCTAAAATCTAAGCATCTTATTTTCTTCTGCAATGCCGCTTGACCCCAGTGCAAACTCGACAGTTGCTCTAAATGGCCAGAAAACGGCACTTTCAATTTCTCCATCCTACAAGACCTAAATAATTTTTGTCGAAAAATGGGCAAATGGTCTGAGGTGCCTGACATCCAGGCATTCTTTTACAAATCGGTCCCTCCCTAGTCTCTGTGCCCAGTGGGACTCGTCCCAAATCTTCCTTCTTTCCCTCCTGCCTGTCCCCTCAGTCCCAACCCCAAGCGTCGCTGAGTCTTTCTAATCTTCCTTTTCTACAGACCCACCTGACCTCTCCCCTCCTCTCCAGGCTGCTCCTTGCCAGGCCGAGCTAGGTTCCAATTCTTCCTCAGCCTGTCTCCACCCTATAATCTTTTTATCACCTCCCCTCCTCACACCTGGTCCGGCTTACAGTTTCGTTCGGTGACTAGCCCTCCCCCACCTGGCCAGGAATTTACTCTTAAAAAGGTGGCTGGAGCTAAAGGCATAGTCAAGGTTAATAGTCCTTTTTCTTTATCCCAAATCAGACAGCATTTAGGCTCTTTTTCATCAAATATAAAAATCCAGCCCAGTTCATGACTCGTTTGGCAGCAACCCTGAGACACTTTACAGCCCTAGACCCTAAAAGTTCAAAAGGCCATCTTAGTCTCAAAATACATTTTATTACCCAATCTGCTCCCGACATTAAATGAAACTCCAAAAATTAAATTCTGACCCTCCAACCCCACAACAGGATTTAATTAACCTTGCCTTCAAGGTGTACAATAATAGAAAAAAGTTGCAATTCCTTACCTCCACTGTGAGACAAACCCCAGCCACATCTCCAGCACATAAGAACTTCCAAACGCCTGAATCGCAGTGGCCAGGCATTCCTCCAGAACCTCCTCCCCCAGGAGCTTGCTGCAAGTGCCAGAAATCTGGCCACTGGGCTAAGGAATGCCTGCAGCCCAGGATTCCTCCTAAGCCATGTCCCATCTGTGTGGGACCCCACTGAAAATTGGACTGTTCAACTCACCTGGCAGCCACTTCCAGAGCCCCTGGGACTCTGGTCCAAGGCTGTCTGACTGACTCCTGCCCAGATCTTCTCGGCTTAGCAGCTGAAGACTGACACTGCCCGATCGCCTCAGAAGCCTACAGGACCATCACAGATGCTCTAGGTAACTCTTACAGTGGAGGGTAAGTCCGTCCCCTTCTTAATCAATACGGAGGCTACTCACTCCACATTACCTTCTTTTCAAGGGCCTGTTTCCCTTGCTTCCATAACTGTTGTGGGTATTGACGGCCAGGCTTCTAAACCTCTTAAAACTCCCCAACTCTGGTGCCAACTTAGACAATACTCTTTTAAGCACTCCTTTTTAGTTATCCCCACCTGCCCAGTTCCCTTATTAGGCCGAGACACTTTAACTAAATTATCTGCTTCCCTGACTATTCCTAGGCTACAGCCACACCTCATTGCCACCTTTTTCTCCAGTTCAAAGCCTCCTTCACATCCTCCCTTTGTATCT
Source organism: Homo sapiens (assembly GCF_000001405.40). Lineage (NCBI taxonomy): Eukaryota > Metazoa > Chordata > Mammalia > Primates > Hominidae > Homo > Homo sapiens. The sequence continues at coordinate 93,642,734 of NC_000007.14, forward strand.
CCCCACCTTAACCCACAAGTATAAGACACCTCTACTCCCTCCTTGGTGGCCAATCATGCACCCCTTACCATTTCATTAAAATCTAATCACCCTTACCCTGCTCAGTGCCAAGATCCCATCCCACTGCATGCTTTGAAAGGATTAAAGCCTATTATCACTTGCCTGCTAGAGCATGGCCTTTTAAAGCCTATAAACTCTCCTTACAATTCCCCCATTTTACCTGTCCTAAAACCAGACAAGGCTTACAGGTTAGTTCAGGATCTGCACCTTATCAACCAAATTGTTTTGCCTATCCATCCCATGGTGCCAAACCCATATACTCTCCTATCCTTAATACCTCCCTCTACAAACCATTATTCTGTACTGGATTTCAAACATACTTTCTTTACTATTCCTTTGCACCCTTCATCCCAGCCTCTCTTTGCTTTCACTTAGACTGACCCTGACACCCATTAGGCTCAACAAATTACCTGGGCTGTACTGCTGCAAGGCTTCACAGACAGCCCCCATTACTTCAGTCAAGCCCAAATTTCATCCTCATCTGTTACCTATCTCAGCGTAATTCTCATAAGAACACACGTGCTCTCCCTGCTGATCGTGTCCGATTAATCTCCCAAACCTCAATCCCTTACAAAACAACAACTCCTTTCCTTCCTAGGCATGGTTAGTGTGGTCAGAATTCTTACACAAGAGCCAGGACTGCACCCTGTAGCCTTTCTGTAAACAACTTGACCTTACTGTTTTAGCCTAGCCATCATGTCTCCGTGCAGCGGCTGCTGCCACCCTAATACTTTTAGAGGCCCTCAAAATCACAAACTATGCTCAACTCACTCTCTACATTTCTCATAACTTCCAAAATCTATTTTCTTCCTCATACCTGATGCATATACTTTCTGTTCCCCGGCTCCTTCAGCTGTACCCACTCTTTGTTAAGTCCCACTATTACCATTTTCCTGGCCCGTACTTCAATCTCGCCTCCCACATTATTCCTGATACCACACCTGACCTCCATGACTGTATCTCTCTGATCCATCTGACATTCACCCCATTTCCCCATATTTCCTTCTTTCCTGTTCCTCACCCTGATCACGCTTGATTTATTGATGGCACTTCCACCAGGCCTAATTGCCACACACCAGCAAAGCCAGGCTATGCTATAGTACAAGCCACTAGCCCGCCTCTTAGAACCTCTCATTTCCTTTCCATCCTGGAAATCTATCCTCAAGGAAATAACTTCTCAGTTGTCCATCTGCTATTCTACTACTCCTCAGGGATTATTCAGGCCCCCTCCCTTCTCTACACATCAAGCTCAAGGATTTGCCCCTGCCCAGGACTGGCAAATTAGCTTTACTCAACATGCCCCAAGTCACAAAAACTAAAATACCTCTTAGTCTAAGTAGACACTTTCACTAGACAGGTAGAGGCCTTTCCTACAGGGTCTGAGAAGGCCACCGCAGTCATTTCTTCCCTTCTGTCAGACATAATTCCTCAGTTTAGCCTTCCCACCTCTATACAGTCTGATAACAGACCAGCCTTTATTAGTGAAATCAGCCAAGCAGTTTTTCAGGCTCTTAGTATTCAGTGAAACCTTTATATCCCTTACAGTCCTCCATCTTCAGGAAAGGTAGAACGGACTAAAGGTCTTTTAAAAACACACCTCACCAAGCTCAGCCACCAACTTAAAAATGGACTGGACAATATTTTACCACTTTCCCTTCTCAGAAGTCAGACCTGTCCTCAGAATGCTACAGGGTACAGCCCATTTGAGCTCCTGAATAGATGCTCCTTTTTATTAGGCCCCAGTTTCATTTGACACCAGACCATCTTAGACTGTGCCCCAAAAAACTTGTCTTCCCTACTATCTCTGTCTAGTCATACTCTTATTCACCGTTCTCAACTACTCATACATGCCGTGCTCTTGTTTACACTGCCAGTTTACACTGTTTCTCCAAGCCATCACAGCTGATATCTCCTGGTGCTATCCCCAGACTGCCACTCTTAACTCTTGAAGTAAATAAATAATCTTTGCTGACAGGACTATGCTGAATTTCCTTAGGCACTCTTATAGATGTCCTAGGTCCTCCCAATTCTTAGACCTTTAATACCTGTTTTTCTCCTTCTCTTACTCGGTTTAGTTTTTCAATTCATACAAAACCGTATCCAGGCCATCACCAATAATTCTAAATGACAAATGTTTCTTCTAACAGTCCCATAATATCACCCCTTACCACAAAATCTTCCTTCAGCTTAATCTCTCCCACTCTAGGTTCCCATGCCGCCCCTAATCCTGCTAGAAGCAGCCCTGAGAAACATTGCCCATTGTCTCTCCATACCACCCCCAAAAATTTTTACCGTCCCAACACTTTACCACTATTTTGTTTTATTTTTCTTATTAATATAAGAAGACAGGAATGTCAGGCCTCTGAGCCCAAGCTAAGCCATCATATCCCCTGTGACCTGCACATACACATCCAGATGGCCGGTTCCTGCCTTAACTGATGACATTCCACCACAAAAGAAGTGAAAATGGCCTGTTCCTGCCTTAACTGATGACATTGTCTTGTGAAATTCCTTCTCCTGGCTCATCCTGGCTCAAAAGCTCCCCTACTGAGCACCTTGTGACCCCCCACTCTGCCCGCCAGAGAAAACCCCCCTTTGACTGTAATTTTCCTTTACCCAAATCCTATAAAATGGCCCCACCCCTATCTCCCTTCGCTGACTCTCTTTTGGGACTCAGCCCACCTGCACCCAGGTGAAATAAACAGCTTTATTGCTCACACAAAGCCTGTTTGGTGGTCTCTTCACAGGGATGCGAGTGAAAACCTAATTATTTGCAATACATGAATTTTATGCATAAAATAATCAACTGGTTTGTCTGTATATATTACAGATTGTTTATGATTTATGAGATACATCAGTATGGATGCTTTTGTAAGCAAGTAACGAAAAATCAATCAAAATTGATTTAATGGAAAGGAGCTTTATTTACTCACATAACTGGAAGATAAGTGATAAAATGCAGTTGAGTATTAATGTGGTGCACCCAGCTTCACTTTTTACAAATCTTCCTCTGTGAGGGATAATTTTCACACAACAAATACACCTGTTTTAATAGTTCTGTTTGATGAGTTCTGACAAACATATGCAACCACAATCCTAATTAAGATTAAACATTTTCTTCACTCCCCCAAATTCTTCTGTGATTTTTGTGGTCAACCCTCCCCCCCACCCCCATCTGTAGCCCTTGGCAGTCACTTATCTGATTTCCAACTTTACAAACTAGTTTTCTTTTTGCAGAATTCCATAAATCATCAGTCATGTCTGGCTTCTTTTGCTCAGCATCACATTTTTGAGACATATTTAGGTGATTGTATGTATCAGTAGTGTGTGTATTTGAAGTTCATGCTTTTACATTTCCAAGTAGTATTACATTGCAAGAATACACCACAGTTTGTAAATCCATTCACCTGTTGAGGGAATTTGGATTGTTTCCAATTTGGGCTATTATTAATAGAACTGTTATGAACATTTGAATATAAGTCTGTGTTGGCATATATTTTCATTTTCTTGGGCATTGCTGAATTTTATGGTAAGTGTATGTTTATTTTCCAAAGTGGCTATGCCATTTGACAACCTCACCAACAATATATGAGACTTCAAGTTGCTCTACATTGAAGCCAACATATGGTATTGTCAATCTTCTTAATTCTATCCTATTATACTTATGTCTAGTGGTATCTCATTGTTTAATTTTCATTTCCCTGATGAGGAAAGATGTTGAGAATCTTTTCTAAGCGCTTTTTGGCCATTCATATATCTTCTTTAGTGAAGTTTTTTAAAAAAGTATTTCTACCATTTTTATTTCTTTGCTTGCCTTATTATTGAGTTTTAAAAGCTATTTATATATTCTCAATACAGGTTGTAGGGGAAAGGGTTAACCTAGCAGTCTTGAGTTGCTCAAAACTTGTGTATTCCCAAGAAGGGCCTGTTTTCATCACAAGCTTTTGACCAGCTACTGGGAATTGAGCTCATGGAATGCTCTGACTGTTAAGAGTGTTTTGCATGCTTAGGGCCTTTGCGCCATACTTTAACAGTTTGTCTAGATTTCTCACAAATAATGTGATTTATATTGAGCACCAACAGGTAATTTTGAAATTAGATAGAGGAAATAGTGGTGTATTGTGAAAGTACTAAATGCTTTAAAATGATTTTACTGTGTTGTACACTTTAAAATGATTAATTTCGTGTTATATGAGTTTTACCTTAATAAAAAACAGTAACAATTTTAAAAATCAGAAAAGGGGGCCGGGCATGTTGGCTCACGCCTATAATCCCAGCACTTTGGGAGGCCGAGGCGGGTGGATTGCCTGAGGTCAGGAGTTCAAGACCAGCCTGACCAACATAGTGAAACCCCATCTCTACTAAAAATAAAAGAATTAGCTGGGCATGGTGGTGGGTGTCTGTAATCCCAGCTACTCAGGAGGCTGAAAGGAGGCTGAAGCAGGAGAATCGCTTGAACCCAGGAGACGGAGGTTGCAGTGAGCTGAGATTGTGCCAGTGCACTCCAGCCTGGGCAACAAAAGCGAAACTCCGTGTCAAAAAAAAAAAAAAAAGAAAAGAAAAGGATTTGAATAGACGTTTCTCCAAAGAAGATGTGTAAATGGCTAAGCATATTAAAAGATATTATCAGCATCAGTAGTCATTAGGGGAATGCAAATCAAAAACAGAATGTGATACTACTTTACACACACTAGGGTATCTACAATAAAAAAGACAGATATTAACAGTTGGAGGGGATGTAAATAATTTGCAACCCTTATGCATTGCTGGTGGAATATAAAACAGGGCAGTTGCTGAGGAGGTCAATTTGACACTTCCTCAAAAAGTTAAAAATAAAGTTAACCAGAAACCCCAGCAATTCTGCTCCTAGGTATTTGCCTCAGAGAAATAAAATTTTTGTGTCCACTTGAGCCCAATGCACAATGTTCACAGTAGCATTATTCATAATAGCCAAATAGTGAAAACAACCCAAATATTCATCAACTGATGAATGGATAAATATAGTATTGTATATGCATTAAATAGAATATTATTCTGCAATAAAAAGAAATGAAATACTGATACAAGTTACAAGATGGTTGGATCTTTAAAACAATATTCTCAGTGAAAAAAATCTAGTCACAGAAAGGGATAGATTAAATAGTCAAATTTATATAAAATGCCTAGTATAGGAAAACTCAGAGACAAGAAGCAGATTTGTGGTTTCTCAGGGCTGACGGTGGTTGGGGAGAGGGGTGGAGTGGGATGGGTATTTACTGTGGGGCATGACATTTCTTTTAGAAGAGACAAAACATTTTGAAATAAATTGAGATGCTCATTTCACAGCCTAGTGAATATACTAAAAACATCGAATTATACACTTCAAATGGGTATACTGTGTGATATGTGAATCGTAGCTCAATGAAGCTGTTTAAAAAAAACAAGCACTATGGAGGCTGGTAACTTGCAGTTGAATTTTAAAACAAATGTTAACTAAGTTATTAATATATTCAGCTTATCTCTACTTATATGTGCTCAACACAACTTGCAACCTCTTAAAACAAAGTTTAAATACTACTCATGTTAAAAAATGAAAATACTGCATTGTTTTAACATCACAAACACTCACAAAAACCTTTGTGAACCATTCTAACATCAATCAAGAATTTGCTGCATAGGCTTAGAAACTTCTCCTCTAAGAGACAACATTAAATTAAGCATATGAAATAATTTTCAGGATAATATAATTGATAAAATATCTAGCAATACTAGTGGATAAGACCTGAAAGGAATAAACTAGCAACTATACCTCAATATTTCTTAGTGAACTTTTTCCTTTCTAGTTCAAGAGAGGTCACTCTGTGATAAATTGATAAAGCTTATTTTTTAAAAATAATAGTTCTTTATATTTAAAAAATGGCTTGCAATAGTTTCTGCTTTACTGCTTTTGATCTCCAGGAATAGGTACTGAGGGATTCCAGTTGTGAGAAATGGGAAGAAGAAAAGCAGAATCCGCTGGCTCCTGAAAGCGGTCCATCTTAGAGCAGACACATCTCAAATCTTTCATTAATTAGCTGTATATATATTAATTAGCTGATATAACTTCTCCAAGTCTTGCCTTCTTCATTTATAAAATGCATAACATAATAATACATACTTTAGCAGGGTTGTGAAAATCAAATTAGGCAATGTATGTAAATCCTTACATAAGTATTCAATATTATGACAACTATTATTATTATTAATGCTTTTGTTGCTATTTTTATTATTTTGATGATCATGTCTAGGATTAATAATTCCTGACCCCAAAAGACTATCTAGTGCTCTAAACTTTCGGAAGCAGATTCTAAAAGGATGAGTTTTTTTCCCTTCTTTATTCGGAGTTGGTAGATTGGTCAGGAGATAGGGGAGTCTGTGGTGGGAAGAACATACATGATTCTATATAATGCTCATATGGTCTTTGTGATCATATGCGGTGAGGACACACAATTTACTAATGAAACCTTGAAGCTCTATTTTATTATCAAAGTACTGAGCTCTCCATTTGTGTACAAAAAAAAAAAAAAAACTGGATTACCTGTCTTAACCTATGATAAGTTATAAAACCTCCAAACTCTGTGGGCAACCAGTTCTGAAAACACACAAAAGACAGATTAAACTTTGAGTTTATATTGGAAAATTGGGGAGCTATTTGATTTTTTTCATTACACTCCTTGTGATTATATGCATTGACAACCATATTGAGCAACTCAATTTTCCTTCACTACTACAAAGCAAATTCTTGTCCAAACACAGAAATATGTCTCTATTATGTGATATTCTTTCACCCGTTACATCTCAAATACTCAAGAATAAATTGTTCATAGAGTAAAAATGCACAAAGATACCTACTTGACTTGATAAACTGTTTCCTGTTTTTAAATGAAACTGCATCACAGAATGGACTTTCCTTTTGTTTAATTTCCAGTTACCTGAGAATGAGGTAAAATGAAAAATGAAAGAAAAAGAAGTTAGAAATTTTTTTAGAGATTCTCTCTGTCAGATGCTTAAGTAATTCCTTTCTTCTAGGCCAAAAAGAAAATGCTTCCTAGCTCAGGGTATATACCTATCAAATTGTAAAGGGAGCATTTCCACATTGTTTGTGCTACTCTAAGTTTTGGTTTAAAAGATCATTGTTTTATGTACATGTATTTCTAATTATCTCAGAAGAGTGAATATGAAGTGAGTGGCTTTACTGTCCCTTGAACTTTAGGGAATGCACAAGAAAATTTATGATTTCTTCTACTGAATTTTTCTCTCTTTGGTACTTTCTTTTTATTTCTGCTCTAGTTCAGTTATCCAACTTTGACTTTCACATCACTCAGTCTTACTTGTTGATGGTCAGTAGCTTTTCTACATAGTTTAGCATTTTTTCTATAGGTTTTAAAAAAATAATATGAGTGCTAGGTTTTCTATAATTTTATTTATCCATATCACAGTTCTTTGGGAGTCTTGTTTCCAGTGTTCCCTTGCACATCTAGCCAAGTTAAGAAGGAGACAATATTGCCAAACAAAGGGAGATTGAGATTCCAAGTCAAGGAATATTAGAGATAAAAGAGATTTGGAGATCAGTCATATGGACTCTTTGCTTTATAGATGAGTAAGCTAAAATCCAAAGGGTGAAGCATGCCTCCCAAGATTGCACATCATTAAGTGACATTAAATCCTGTTTCCAAATCATCACTTACATATACAGTAGACTATCTACTCTTTGTTGGTGGTGGTATTAGTTGAGGACATTGATGGCAGTAAGTGAAAGCAGCAGTGGATTCAGGCCTTTTTTCCACTGACCCAAGTTGTAGACATTTAATTTGTTATTGGATTAACAACACTGCAAAACATTGGCAGATTATCAAAGAATGTGCCTGCCTTGGTAGAGCATGAAGTTATTCCTGTCTTTATGCGTATCAGGGCAGTAGAAACAAAGAACACATTTTAGTTTGCTATTCCTGATATAGGAAGCTCTAATTTTGAGTTTCCCAGATGTATATCTAGGGCACAGTCAACAACATCACGTAATGCAGTTTCAGATGGCTGTGTCAGGGGCTTAGGGGCTCATCTTGGTGTGAGGCTCTAGAGTAAACCTATTGAATCCTGAGTTTCAATGGGTTTAACAGAGTATGTTCTGATTTATCTCAAGACAGAGAAATTACACAGTATTTTAGAAAGGCATTAAATTTTAATATTATATATTCATGATGTAAAAAATGAGATAAATTTGCAGAATTTGCTAATTCACTAATAAATCCATAGGAATAAAATATGTTGCCTTAGTCTTCTTACCTTTCAAAAGTATGACTACTCCTCTTTTGAAATGCTACTTGAGATGCTTGTCATCTTTAGGTGGGAACATATGTCTATTTCATTTTATTTAGTGGAAGTTTTCCACTGGCTACTAATTAACTGATAATTTATGCTAGGCATTCCAGTTCAATTTCCTGACAAATCCAATCAGAAATCAAAACGTGACTTACAAATTTAAATAAGGAGGAAACACTGACCAAAACAGAAATTAGTGTTCATGATCATCAGTGTGACTTGCAGCTTTATATTATCAACAAGAATAGGGCAATGAAACTTCCATTGTGCTACAATTGTTGTCATCACAACTTCAATGAGATAATAATAAAGGATAATAAAAGGATTTTCATAAATTGCTTACTTGTTTTCTGAGAAGGTTTTACTACTGGATTTGAAGCTTTTGAAAGTACATTACTGTAACATACGAACATTGGGTTGTACTAGCTGATTAATTTAAAAGAGGATAGTTAATGGGTATATCAGTCAAGGTCCAAATAAGAAAATAGACACCTTTTCAGGTCTTTCAAAGAGGCGAGATTTACTACAGAGGGCAATTACTGGAAATTGCTGTCTATTTTATTTTAAAAGAGAGAACAGCTGAGGCATAAAAAAAGCAGAAGGTGAAGCAACCTACAGCTTAGCAGCAGCAGGACAGCACCATATATGAGGGCTGGAGAGATGAGATAAAGGGATGGTGTTATCAGAGACCAGAAGGTAGGTCCTCCTATGGGAATTACAATTGTGGGGGCAGTTGGGAAGCTGCATGATGGAAGTTTGGACCAGCAGGATACATGATCCCTGCCAGAGATGTCACCAGAAGTAGAAAGAGAAGGATAGAAATACATTGAATTTTTTTACCCTGCTCTCACCCTCCAAATTTTGCCATGGCTACTAATGGTCATGTCTAGTTGAAAGTCAGAAGACAAGGGAGACAAATAAATGTCATTACCTGTGATATTCAGAAGAGCAAGAGAAGTGGTAAGGGTGGAGAACACTTTCACAATGAGTATTCATTGATATAAAATAAGAATACCTTGATATATTCAAAAGGATAATATTTATATTTTCATAAAAGAAACAAAGGATGACAGGAAATTTCCAAAACTTAACAATGACAACTCAAATTACAACATGCAACATTTGTCACTTGGTCTTTTAGAAAAACAAGGGGGTAAAATAAAACATCTCTAGCTTTAATTTTGTGTTAAAAGGTTTTATACAAATGACTTAACCTTGCTTTCATTATATATCTGTTGAATACTAAATATTTGTACACATAATAACTACGTCTCTATATTCATGCCAATGTTTTATTTTTATTTTATTTTATTTATTTATTACAATTTAAGTTCTGGGATACATGTGCAGAACATGCAGGTTTGTTAAATAGGTATACACGTGCCATGGTGGTTTACTGCACCCATGAACCCATCATGTACATTAGGTATCTCTCCTAATGCTATCCCTCCCCTAGCCCCCCACCCCCTGACAGGCCCCAGTGTATGATGTTTCCCTCCCTGTGTCCCTGTGTTCTCATTGTTCAGCTCCCACATATGAGTGAGAACATGTGGTGTTTAGTTTTCTGTTCCTGTGTTAGTTCGCTGAGAATGATGGTTTCCAGCTTCATCCATGTCCCTGCAAAGGACATGAACTCATCCTGTTTTATGGCTGCAAAGTATTCCAGGGTGCATATGTGCCACATTATCTTTATCCAGTCTATCATTGATGGGCCTTTGGGCTGGTTCCAAGTCTTTCCTATTGTAAATAGTGCTGCAGTAAACATACGTGTGTATTCATGTCAATGTTTAAGAGATTTGCTGTAAACATTATTACAGTATAATCTATGTAGGGGATGTCAGACAAGTGATAGTATTCACAACAATTTAGTCATAAATCAACAAAACTCCCATTATTTTAGCCATAATTATGTGGCTGTTTCCTTTATTTACTTAGGCAAAGATCTAGACCCAGAGACATGGAGACAATAACTTTATTTTCAGTCAGTCAACAACAATTTTCCTGTCTATGTGACTACAAATATGTTAAGAATTTTAGGAGGAGTAAGAGAAATGACAGCCCTGGTTTTCATCTTTAAGAGAGAGTAACAACAAAAACGAATATATTAAATTATTTAGTTGTACTGGCCAAAAGAAAGAATAAGATTAAATGTAATAATATGGGCTTAAGAGCACAGTTTTCATAGTCAGACAACGTTAACTGTTTTAGTTTTGCAATGTTTTGCAAATTGCTTTAGGAGTCTTTGTTTATTGTAATAGGGATAGAGATATTATCTGTTTCATGGAGTGGTTATAAGAAGTGATTAAACACATGAAGCAATACAGGGTACAGAATGTACTATCGTCAATGAATGGTAGTTATTATTCATAATAATATTAATGTTACTACTACTAATAATGACAAGAATAGATGGGCAAGACAGGGGAGACTAGAACTGGGCTTTGAAGGATCAGTAGAATTTGGATAGGTTAAGGAGGGTATTATTCTAGAAAGTACAAATAGTCGTGAGAAAGGCTTACAAGGAGGGAAAAACACTCGCAAGAGATGTATGGGGCCAGTGGATTGAGAGAAAGCTAAGTAAAAAGACGACTATCAGGTCATTGAAGATGTCAAAAATAAGGCAATGATAGGGTTCAACCTCTCTTCCAAGCATAGAATGAAACTTTACAAGTTTTTTTTTAAATAATTGAGAAGTAAGTAACATAAAATAAAATACACATCTTAATCGTTCGGTTAACAATCGTATAGCCCCTGTCTAAACACCAAAGAAAGCAAAATATAGACCTTTTCCAACACACCAGAAATTTCCCTCATGCACATTTTCAAAAATTTATTTTCCTCCCCATCACAGCTTCTATGACTTTTTAATCTCTGTAACTATTTATCTGTTCTTGGACTTCCTATAAATGGAATTATTGAATAAGTATTCTTCCATGTCTGTCTTCTTTTATTTAACACATTATTTTTGAAATTGATCCATTTGCTGGGTCTTGTATAATGATCTATATTTTAGGAGATCTATATTGTTCAAAAATAACATTTATAATAAAATTTATTTGTTATAACATACCTTATCATTTAAATGCTTTATTCATGATGTTAATTTGTGTTTCCTCTATATTTTTTGATCATTTTAGCTAGATTAATCTTTTCAAAAAAATCAATTATTCACCTCTTCATTTTCTCAATTTTTTGTTCAACTTCTATTTCACTGGTTTCTACTTTTATTTTTAATTTTTTCTTCTTATTTGCATATAATTTGCTATTCTTTTTCTAGCATGTTCAGGTGGACTCTTAGGTTATTATTTTAGACTTTTATTATTTTTAAAAACTTTCATTTCAAGCTAAAAATTTTTCTTTTGGCATAACTGCATCCTTTATTTTTATGCACTGTGTTTTTATTATTTACTCCAATGTATTCTCTAATTTTCCTGTATATTTTCTTTGAACTATGAGCTATTTGGGCATACTTTAATTTCTAGATTTTCTACATATTTATAATTTCTCTATACTTATACATATATAGTTACTATATTCATTTTATGTATCTATTTTATATTTATTCAAATATATTTATTCAAATATATTATATATATTAAAACTTCTATAATTTCTATACATGCTAAGTATATTGCTAGATATATTTATTAATTTCTAATATGATATCATTGCAGCCTGAGAATAATTCTGTATGATTATGATTATTTGATATGTATTGCAATTTGTTTAAGACCCACGATGTGGTCTATCTTAGTGAATATTTTAGGTCACTTCAAAAAAATATATATTCTGCAGTTAGAAGTAATATCCTATGTGTGCCAATTGGGTCAGATTGATAGTGTATTTAAAATCTATATTTTCACTGAATTTTGTCTACTTATTCTAATAGTTACTTAGAAAGGTTTGCTAAAATCTCCAACTACAATTATGGATTTATCTATTTTTTCCATTAGTTTTGTCAAATTTGATTAATGTCTTTTCAAACTCTGTAATAATTAAGCGCATACATGCTTAGGATTTTATGTTTTCTTGATGACTTGTTTGTTTTGACATAACACACACTCTTTTCTTTCTAGTAGTACTCTTGTCTTGAAATCTTCTTTGTCTGACATTAGTATAGCTATGCAAGTTTTCTTATGCTTACTGTTTTCACAAGAATATTTTCTACACTTTTAATTTGAATCCATCTGTGTCTTTATATCAAGGATGCTTTTTGTAAACAGCATATATTTGGGTCTTGTTTTGTTATTCGGTATAGTAAGCTCTTTTAATTGGAATGGTTATCCCATTTACATAGTATGTAATTATTGACATGTTTGTTTCGGTGTTCCATTTTGGTATTAATTATTTGTCCTCTTTATACTTTTTTTTTTTCCTGTTCTTCCTTTCATGTCTTCTGTTTGGTAAATCACATTTTTTTGCAGGGGATGGGGAGTATTTTATTTTATCTCTTGTATTGACATTTTAGTTATATCTCTTTTTAAATTGGTTGCTTTAGAAATTACAATAAAAATTATGAAGTCATTACAGTCTACCTTTAAATAAAAATAACATATGACCTCAGAGTCTGCATAAGAACCTTATAAAAGTTATAACACTATAATTCCATTTATTTTTCCCTATTCTTTGTTTCTTGGGTTATCATAATTTACTTACAGATATGCTCTATTTTTTTTACTATTTTTTAAATAAAAAACAAGTCCCTTAAAATTTATAAATGTAACAAAATATAAAAAACATAATCAAGGTAATTTTAAGTCTTTTATGTTTACTTAGTTATTTACTTTTTCTGATAGCTTCGTGCATTTGTAAAGAATTTGGTTTCCTCTGGTCCACCTTTCTTTCAACTTAAATAACTTATTTTTCTATTTATTTATTTACTCTGTATTAATTTATTGAAGTGTAGATTTGTTGGAGACAAACTCTTAACTTTTGGCTATCTGATAATATCTCTACTGCTTCCATAGTTTAAAGATATTTTCACTGGAGATAGCACGCTAGATTTGACAGTATTTATTTATTTATGCTTAGCACTTTAAAGTTATTCTATATGCATCTGGCTTTTATTATTCTGATAAAATGGTAGCCACCATTTATATTATTTTTTTCCTATATGTAATGAGTCTTTTGTTCTCTGGCTATTTTTACAAATTGCTATTTATCTTGATTTCCAGGAACTTGATTATTCTGCAGATAGGCATAGTTTTCTTGGTATTTATCCTGTTTTCGTTGCTGAGCATTTTGGACCAGTGGGTTGATGTCTGTTCCTAGTTTTTTAACATGTTATTCATTATCTCATCATTCTGCCTCATCCTCTCTCTTTTTGAGGGGACTACAATACACATAACTGTTTTGTTATGTTCACTTTTTTCATTCTGAGTTTTAGTTGGGATTCTTCCTATTTAACTGCTGTTCAAGTTTTCTGATAGTTTACTGTTAAGTCATTAAATCAATTTTTTATTTTGGACTTGGCACTTTTCATTTGATTTCCTTTTTGTTTGAGACAGGGTCTCACTCTATCACCCAAGCTGGAGTGCAATGGTTCCGTCATGGCTCACTGCAACCTCTGCCTCCTGGGCTCAAACAACCCTCCCACCTTAGCCTCCTGAGTACCTGGGAACACAGGCGTGCACCACCACACTTGGCTAATTTTTGTATTTTTTTTTTTTTTTTTTTTGTAGAGATGGCGTTTTGCCATGTGTCCCAGGCTGGTCTCAAACTCCTGGGCTTAAGCAATGCTCCCATTCGGTCTCCCGAAGTGCTGGGATTATAGGCATAAGCCACTGGGTCTGTCCTATTTTTTTGCTATAGCTTTTATCTCTCTGATAAATTTCCCCACCTCTTTACACATTTCATTAAACTTTTCTTCTGGAACCTCTAGTATTTTAGTCACAATCGTTTTAAAGCCCACATCAATAATTTCATTGTCTTGAAAATATCTGGGTCTGCATTTGTTAACTGTTTCTTCTGAGCAAGGGTCTCATTTTGTTACTTTTACATGTGTCCTACAATGTTTTATTGCATACTGATAAGTTTGTATAAATATCAGTAGAGATAGAAGTAAATAATGTTTACCTTCAGAAAGGGCACACCACCTTTTTCAGACTGCTGGAGAGGTGTCGAAGTTATTCTAATGTGCAGATGTATTGGATCTGAAGTTTGTTGTGGCTTTAATTTATTTTACCACTGACTTTAAGCACTTTTAGGTTGGGAACAGGACATTCCTTTTAGTGAGATCTAGGATATGTGCACTAACAACATTCTGGAAATTTACCTAGTTTATAGTCACACTACCAATTTTTGTAAATGTGAGAAATATTTTTCTACTTTCTATCCTAGCTGCTAGAATTTGGAGCAGCTGTGGAGTTTTTTGTTTTGTTTTTGCTTTCCAGTTTTACCCCTTGCTTACTGGGCCATAGTATATCTTTTTTGAGTGCTGAGGTCTCCTCAAGGCATTCAGAGAACAAATGCTCTTCACTGTATGAAGGTCTAGAATGCCCCGGATGTGTTTCTTTCAGTTCTACTAGTGTGTTCACAGTCTTTCATGTTTGAAAGCCTAAAGTTACTGATAACATTTTTTTTTTTTTTTTTAGCTTTCTTTTCTTGATGTCCCACCTGCTAAGGTTGCTGCCTTGAATATACAGGAAACCCTTCACACCTGAGGGAGAATTTCCCTGAACTTCCTTCCCTGACTCTGGAGATTAGTGTAATATTGCTGAATATTTGGTGAAGAGCTCAGGGGAATAATTGGCAGGTGGTAACATCTATAGCCCAGCTTTTTTTTTTAGGACAATTTCAGTTGTTTTCCTTATCTCTTTTATGGCATATTCTTCATCCTCTCATTAGTATTCTAAGAATATAAATGTCTTGTCACTTGTCGTAGTTTAATTCATTTGTGTTTCTTTTTTTTTCTTTTTTTTTATTATACTTTCAGTTCTAGGGTACATGTGCACAACATGCAGGTTTGTTTCATATGTATACATGTGCCATGTTGGTTTGCTGTACCCATTAACTTGTCATTTACACTAGGTATTTCTCCTAATGCTATCCCTCCCCCATCCCCCCACCCCACAACAGACCCCAGTGTGTGATGTTCCCCGCCCTGTGTCCAAGTGTTCTCATTGTTCAGTTCCCACCTATGAGTGAGAACAAGTGGTGTTTGGTTTTCTATCCTTGCGATAGTTTGCTGAGAATGATGGCTTCCAGCTACATCCATGTTGCTGCAAAGGACATGAACTCATCCTTTTTTATGGCTGCATAGTATTCCATGGTATATATGTGCCAAATTTTCTTAATCCAGTCTATCATTGATGGACATTTGGGTTGGTTCCAAGTCTTTGCTATTGTGAATAGTGCCACAATAAACATACGTGTGCATGTGTCCTTATAGTAGCATGATTTATAATCCTTTGGGTATATACCCAGCAATGGGATTGCTGGGTCAAATGGTATTTCAAGTTCTAGATCCTTGAGGAATTGCCACAATGTCTTCCACAATGGTTGAACTAGTTTACACTCCCACTAATAGTGTAAAAGTGTTCCTATTTCTCCACAGCCTCTCCAGCACCTGTTGTTACCTGATTTTTTAATGATTGCCATTCTAACTGGTGTGAGATGGTATCTCACTGTGGTTTTGATTTGCATTTCTCTGATGACCAGTGATGATGAGCACTTTTTCATGTGTCTGTTGGCTGCATAAATGTCTTCTTTTGAAAAGTGTCTGTTCATATTCTTTGCCCACTTTTTGATGGGGTTGTTTGATTTTTTTCTTGTAAATTTGTTTAAGTTCTTTGTAGATTCTGGATATTAGACCTTTGCCAGATGGGTAGATTGCAAAAATTTTCTCCCATTCTGTAGGTTGCCTGTTCACTCTGATGGTAGTTTCTTTTGCTGTGCAGAAGCTCTTTAGTTTAATTAGATCATGTGTTTCTATTTTGGCTTTTGTTGCCATTGCTTTTGGTGTTTTAGTCATGAAGTCATTGCCCATGCCTATGTCCTGAATGGTATTGCCTAGGTTTTCTTCTAGGGTTTTTATGGTTTTAGGTCTAATATTTAAGTCTTTAATCCATCTTGAATTAATTTTTGTATAAGGTGTAAGGAAGGGATCCAGTTTGAGCCCTCTACATATGGCTAGCCAGTTTTCCCAGCACCATTTATTAAATAGGGAATCCTTTCCCCATTTCTTGTTTTTGTCAGATTTGTCAAAAATCAGATGGTTGTAGATGTGTGGTGTTATTTCTGAGGCCTCTGTTCTGTTCCATTGGTTTATATCTCTGCTTTGGTACCAGTAACATGCTGTTTTGGTTACTGCAGCCTTGCAGTATAGTTTGAAGTCAGGTAGCATGATGCCTCCAGCTTTGTTCTTTTTGCTGAAGATTGTCTTGGCAATGTGGGCTCTTTTTTGGTTCCATATGAACTTTAAAGTAGTTTTTTCCAATTCTGTGAAGAAAGTCATTGGTAGCTTGATGGGGATGGCATTGAATCTATAAATTACCTTGGGCAGTATGGTTATTTTCATGATATTGATTCTTCCTGTCCATGAGCATGGAATGTTCTTCCATTTGTTTGTGTCGTCTTTTATTTCGTTGAGCAGTGGTTTGTAGCTCTCCTTGAAGAGGTCCTTCACATCCTTCGTATGTTGGATTCCTAGGTATTTTATTCTCTTTGAAGCAGTTGTGAATGGGAGTTCACTCATGATTTGGCTCTCTGTCTGTTGTTGGTGTATAAGAATGCTTGTGATTTTTGCACATTGATTTTGCATCCTGAGACTTTGCTGAAGTTGCTTATCAGCTTAAGGAGATTTTGGGCTGAGATGATGGGGTTTTCTAAATATACAATCATGTCATCTGCAAACAGGGACAATTTGACTTCCTCTTTTGCTAATTGAATACCCTTTATTTCTTTCTCCTGCCTGATTGCCCTGGCCAGAACTTCCAACACTATGTTGAATAAGAGTGGTGAGAGAGGGCATCCTTGTCTTGTGCCAGTTTTCAAAGGGAATGCTTCCAGGTTTTGTCCATTCAGTATGATATTGGCTGTGGGTTTGTCATAAATACCTCTTATTATTTTGAGATACGTTACATCAATACCTTGTTTATTAAGAGTTTTTAGCATGAAGGGCTGTTGAATTTTGTCAAAGACCTTTTCTGCATCTATTGAGATGATCATGTGGTTTTTGTCTTTGGTTCTGTTTACATGGTGGATTATGTTTATTGATTTGCCTATGTTGAACCAGCCTTGCATCCCGGGGATGAAGCCAACTTGATCTTGGTGGATAAGCTTTTTGATGTGCTGCTGATTTTGGTTTGCCAGTATTTTATTGAGGATTTTTGCATCAATGTTCATCAGGGATATTGGTCTAAAATTCTCTTTTTTTTGTTGTGTCTCTGCCAGGCTTTGGTATCAGGATGATGCTGGCCTCATAAAATGAGTTAGGGAGGATTCCCTCTTTTTCTATTGATTGGAATAGTTTCAGAAGGAATGGTACCAGCTTCTCTTTGTATCTGTTATAGAATTCAGCTGTGAATCCATCTGGTCCTGGACTTTTTTTGGTTGGTAGGCTATTAATTATTGCCTCAATTTCAGAGCCTGTTATTGGTCTATTCAGCAATTCAACTTGTTCCTGGTTTAGTCTTGGAAGGGTGTTTGTGTCCAGGAATTTATCCATTTCTTCTAGACTTTCTAGTTTGCTTGTGTAGAGGTGTTTATACTATTCTCTGATGGTAGTTTGTATTTCTGTGGGATCAGTGGTAATATCCCCTTTATCATTTTTTATTGTGTCTATTTGATTCTTCTCTCTTTCCTTCTTTATTAGTCTTGCTAGTGCTCTATCAATTTTGTTGATCTTTTCAAAAAATCAGCTCCTGGATTGATTGATTTTTTGAAGGATTTTTGTGTCTCTATCTCCTTCAGTTCTGCTCTGATCTTAGTTATTTCTTGCCTTCTGCTAGCTTTTTAATGTGTTTGCTCTTGCTTCTCTAGTTCTTTTAATTGTGATGTTAGGGTGTCGATTTTAGATCTTACTGCTTTCTCTTGTGGGCATTTAGGGCTATAAATTTTCCTCTACACACTGCTTTGAATGTGTCCCAGAGATTCTGGTATGTCGTGTCTTTGTTCTCATTGTTTTCAAAGAACATCTTTATTTCTGCCTTCATTTCGTTATGTACTCAGTAGTCATTCAGGAGCAGGTTGTTCAGTTTCCATGCAGTTGTGCAGTTTTGAGTGAGTTTCTTAATCCTGAGTTGTAATTTGATTGCACTATGGTCTGAAAGACAGTTTGTTGTGATTTCTGTTCTTTTACATTTGCTGAGGGGGGCTTTACTTCCAGCTATGTGGTCAATTTTGGAATAAGTGTGATGTGGTGCTTAGAAGAATGTATATTCTGTTGATTTGTGGTGGACAGTTCTGTAGATGTCTATTAGGTCTGCTTGGTGCAGAGCTGAGTTCAAGTCCTGGATATCCTTCTCTCTTATTGATCTGTCTAATATTGACAGTGGAGTGTTAAAGTGTCCCATTATTATTGTGTGGGGGTCTAAGTCTCTTTTTAGGTCTTTCAGGTCTTGCTTTATGAATCTGGGTGCTCCTGCATTGGCTGCATATATATTTAGGATAGTTAGCTCTTCTCGTTGAATTGATCCCTTTACTATTTTGTGATGGCCTTTTTTGTCTCTTTTGATCTTTGTTGGTTTAAAATCTGTTTTATCAGAGACTAGGATTGCAACCCCTGCTTTTTTTTTGCTTTCCTTTAGCTTGGTAGATCTTCCTCCATCCCTTTATTTTGAGCCTACGTGTGTCTCTGCATGTGAGATGGGTACAGCACACTGATGGGTCTTGACTCTTTATCCAATTTGCCAGTCTGTGTCTTTTAATTGGGGCATTTAGCCCATTTACATTTAAGGTTAATATTGTTATGTGTGAATTTGATCCTGTCATTATGATGTTAGCTGGTTATTTTGCCCATTAGTTGATGCAGTTTCTTCCTAGCGTCGATGGTCTTTACAATTTGGCATGTTTTTGCAGTGGCTGGTACCGATTGTTCCTTTCCATGTTTAGTGCTTCCTTTAGGAGCTCTTGTAAGGCAGGCCTGGTGGTGACAAAATCTCTGTGTTTCCTTGTCTCTAAAGGATTTTATTTCTCCTTCACTTATGAAGCTTAATTTGGCTGGATATGAAACTCTGGGTTGAAAATTCCTTTCCTTAAGAATGTTGAATATTGGCCCCCAATCTCTTCTGGCTTGCAGGGTTTCTGCTGAGAGATCTGCTGTTAGTCTGATGGGCTTTCCTTTGTGGGTAACCCGACCTTTCTCTCTGGCTGCCCTTAGCATTTTTTCCTTCATTTCAACCTTGGTGAATCTGACAATTATGTGTCTTGGAGTTGCTCTTCTCGGGGCATATCTTTGTGTTGTTTTCTGTATTTCCTGAATTTGAATGTTGGCCTGCCTTGCTATGTTGGGGAGGTTCTCTTGGATAATATCCTGAAGAGTGTTTTCCAGCTTGGTTCCATTCTCCCCGTCACTTTCAGGTACACCAATCATACCTAGATTTGGTCTTTTCACATAGTCCCATATTTCTTGGAGGCTTTGTTCATTTCTTTTTACTCTTTTTTCTCTAAACTTCTCTTCTTGCTTCATTTCATTAATTTGATCTTCAATCACTGATACCCTTTCTTCTAGTTGATTGAATCAGCTACAGAAGCTTGTGCATTCATCACATAGTTCTCGTGCCATGGTTTTCAGCTTCATCAGGACATTTAAGTTCTTCTCTACACTGTTTATTCTAGTTAGACTTTTGTCTAATCTTTTTTTCAAGGTTTTTAGCTTCCTTGCGATGAGTTCAAACATCCTCCTTTAGCTTGGAGACGTTTGTTATTACCGACTTTCTGAAGCCTACTTCTGTCAACTCGTCAAAGTCGTTCTCTGTCCTGCTTTGTTCCATTGCTGGCGAGGAGCTACGATCCTTTGGAGGAGAAGGGGCGTTCTGGTTTTTAGAATTTTCAGCTTTTCTGCTCGGGTTTCTCCCCATCTTTGTGGTTTTATTTACCTTTGGTCTTTGATGATGGTGACCTACAGATGGGGTTTTGGTATGGATGTCCTTTTTGTTGATGTTGATGCTATTCCTTTCTGTTCGTTAGTTTTTCTTCTAACAGGTCCCTCAGATGCAGGTCTGTTGGAGTTTGCTGGAGGTCCATTCCAGACCCTGTTTGCCTGGGTATCACCAGCAGAGGCTGCAGAACAGCAAATATTGCAGAGCAGCAAATATTGCTGCCTCATCCTTCCTCTGGAAGCTTCGTCTCAGAGGGGCACCTGCCTATATGAGGTGTCCATCAGTCCCTACTGTGCAGTGTCTCCAAGTTAGGCTACATGGGGGTCAGGGACTCACTTGAGGAGGCAGTCTGTCTGTTCTCAGAGCTCAAATACCATGCTGGGAGAACCACTGCTCTCTTCAGAGTTGTCAGACAGGGAAGTTTAAGTCTGCAGATGTTTCTGTTGCCTTTTGTTGAGCCATGTCCTGCCTCCAGAGGTGGAGTCTATAGTGGTAGGCAGGCCTTGTTGAGCTGCGGTGGGCTCCACTGAGTTCAAGCTTCCAGGCCACTTTGTTTACCTACTCAAGCCCCAGCAATGGTGGACGCCCCTCCCCCAGCCAGGCTTGCCACCTCGCAGTTTGATCTTGGACAGCAGTGAGCAAGGCTCCGTGGGCGTGGGATCCACTGAGCCAGGTGTGGGATATAATCTTCTGGTGTGCTATTTGCTAAGACCATTGGAAAAGTATAGTGTTTAGGTGGCAGTGTCCCGATTTTCCCAGTACAATCTGTCATGGCTTCCCTTGGCTAGGAAAGGGAAATCCCCCAACCCCTTGTGTTTCCCCAGTGAAGTGATGCCCCGCCCTGCTTCAGCTTGCCCTCTGTGGGCTGTGGGCTGCCCCCACTTTCTGACCAGTCCCAGTGAGGTGAACCAGGTACCTCAGTTGGAAATGCAGAAATCACCCATGTTCTGCGTCGATCACGCTGGGAGCCGCAGACTGGAGCTGTTCTGGTCTTGGAACCAGAAGCCCATTTGTGTTTCTTTAACTCTGTATGATTTTAAAACTTGTCCCATTCATTTTGTGTTGATGTTGAGTGTTATGGTAAGCATTATAGTCTCATGTGACTTGATAAATCTGAATAATAAGAAGAAACTAGGGAGCTCTATACATCAAATTAAATAAGTCTCATAGTAAAGATGATGTGAATTAATAAAATGAGATGTAAGAATTAGAAAGTATTTGTACATATTAAATTAATTTGAGTGTACAAGGAAATCTGAAACTACCTTCTGACCTTTATGCAATAATCTTAAAGAGTCATGCTGCTGAATAAAATTTATCAGAAGAAACGTCTACTGTACAGGATAGGAGAAGAACAATAGGTTTACATTTCAGAGAGAGAAAATAGTGTTACTGAAACCAAGGAGGCATTGGGAAAATAAAGACAAGTTGGAGAAAGATATAAAACTCTATAATTTTAACAATTATAAGGTAGGATAAGGCAAGAACACATTGGTATTTCTAGCAATAGAAGAGAAATATTGACTTTTACTTCTGGCAAAATGTTGGGCCAAGTTATTTATATTAAATCTCTGCTTGAAAAATACTTAAAATATTGAATAAAATGTAAACACATTTTAAATGCATTGAGGAAAAATATTTAAATTTAAAAATACCACTAGGTATTAGGGGAATCCATGGTTCACAAGTGAGTATTATGAAACTCTCAGGGTAGAATTCATTCTAGTCTTACACAACATCTCACAGTTAATATGAAATAACTTCTCAAGTCGTTATGAGTCTGGTATGATATTGACATCACCAATATCTGAAAGGTATAGTATGAAGAAGAATATTACAGGCCAATTTCAGTCATGAATTGTGGTGAAAAATCCTAAACAAAATATTAACAAATATGCTCCAACAAAACATAAAAGAATAAGAAATTATGGCCATGTTGAACTTATCTAAGAAAACCAAGTTCAGTTTAATATTACAAAAGCAATTAATGTAATTTATGACATTAAGGGTTTAGAGGAGAATAATTATATTATTCAATATGTGCAGAAAATGTAACATTCAAATTAGACAGAAATCTTAGAAAACTGACAAACATGGTTTCTTAATCTGGTAGAGGTCATATAAAATATCTATAGCAGCACTGTACTTAACAATGACAACATAGAAACCTTTGCTTTGAGATTACCAATTAAAAAAAGAAAGTTTAAGTTTATTTTTACTACTTCTACTAAGCATTGTAGACAATGCTAATAACACAAAAAATAAGGCCAGGCGTGGTGGCTCACGCCTATAATTCCAGCACTTTGGGAGGCCAGGTGGGTGGATCACGAGGTCAGGAGATTGAGACCATCCTGGCTAACACAGTGAAACCCTGGTCTCTACTAAAAATGCAAAAAAAAAATTTGCAGGCTGTGGTGGCGGGCGCCTGTAGTCCCAGCTACTTGGGAGGCTGAGGCAGGAGAATGGCATGAACCCAGGAGTCAGAGCTTGCAGTGAGCCAAGATTGCGCCACTGCACTCCAGCCTAGGTGACAGAGGGAGACTCTGTCTCCAAAAAAAAAAAAAAAAAGACAAAAAATTCAATATTAAAAAATTACTTATCAGAGCGATGTCAGCAGGAATGGCACAATAAGTACCTCTACAAATCATTTCATTTATAAAAACAATAGAATGCTGGTAAATAGTCTTATAATCAAGTTTTCCAGAAGTCTGAAAATTAACTAAAGGCTTGCAATGATCTGGGGTGCATTTATCTAGGAAGAAAAGAAAAACAAACAAATCTTACTGAAGCAAGAAGAGTACATTTTGTGGCATTTTAACTTTCCCTACACTTGAGGTGGGTGGACTTTTCCTACTAGATATCAAGATTATTATTATTTTTTAGTAAATAAAACACCATGCTTCAGTAAGAGAAATATAGAACAATGGGCAGGAAAAATAGCGCCCCTCAAAAAATAATGTCTAAATGGATGTTTGACATATGGGAGAGATGGCATAACAGATAAGTGGAGAAATGCAGGGTTTTCAACAAAAGGTGAGGAGACAATTGTAATTCATGTTTAAAAAAACGAAATCAGACCACCACTACCTCATACTCTACTCCTTCCCTAAATCCCAGGTGTATTAAAGACCTAATTGTTTAAGGGAAAACTACTCATTTAAAGAAATTAACATAGCAAAATGATTTTGTGATTTTTGAAGTACAGAAAACTTCTTTAAAAAATACTAAAAAGCATTCACCATTAAAGTAATAGATAATTTAACTATATTAAAGTGAAATATTCAGGTCCTCAGAGTATTAGAAGAAAGTGAAGACAAGAGACTTCGAAAGACGCGAAAGAAGATATGTGCAAAAGATAATAGACAATTGACTTAAATTTGGAATATATACATAACACTCCCACATACTTTTTAAATAAAATTCATCTGGCAAAAAAAATGCATGAAAATGTGTTTCACCTCTTTAATATCAAGATATGCAAAATAATAACATAATAACATAACACTATAAACACTAAAGAATTTCAAGTTTTAAAAGTAAGAAAATACCAATGTGTTAGATTAAATTATTAGTTCCAATACTTTATTTCTCTATAACAAAATTATGTATGCATATCCTTGTTGTGGTCCCCTGGTGTATAAAATGAACATCATTCCTCTTGACTTTGGGCTTGTTATTTAGGATTTGCTTTGGCTGATGGAATATAAGTGTACATGAAAGAAGCAGTGGCTTAGATTATTTTTTTACCATGGGGCTTTCTCCTAAACTCTCGTATATCATTACGTATAAAATTCCTATACATGTACTTACAGCATATAATATTCACAATATTAATGATCTTTGTATTGATTGAATTTTCTTTGTTGGTGAGTAATCTGAAAATTATGAGATGTTTCATAAATATACATATATATACACACACACACACGCACACACTTTTGGCCCTTGCATCTTGTTTCCAAGTTTATTTTCAATTTTGGGTCATGACACTCAATGGCTATTTTCTTAGAAAAGTAAGGAATTCCATTATGTTCAACCTGAATTAGTTGCCTTTTTATTAACAGCATTTTCTACCTCTTGCCTTTTGAAAGACAACCAAGTTGGCTCATTGAGCATTTGTATAGTAGTCTAGAGAAATGACTTCACTCTGAAATGTTGGAAAGCCTATTGTGATTGCTTCTGCAATTTTCTCTGTTTTGGGATATAATATCAGTCCAGTGTCTTTTGTATGCAAAATGCTGCTGTGGGAGCTGTTTTCCTCTCTGCTTTTGTTTCCAGTTGCCCTCCCTGCAAGTCTCTGGCCAGTCTTTCTAGGATATAATTCATTCAACCAATATTTATTGAGCAACTGCTAAGTTCTATGAATTGAGGATATAGCAGTGAATGACTAAGTACCTGATCTCCTGCAGCTTACACTGTATTGTGAAATATAAAATCTAATGCTGTAACATCAAATTTATCAATTCATGGGTCTTACGAAAACCTAAAATCATATAACTCCCTTTCCAAGTTCTCTGTTTGCCAATGCTTGCTGTATTAGTCTGCTAGGGCTGCCATAACAAAATACTCCTGACTGGATGGCTTAAATAACATACACTCATTTTCTCATAGTTCTGGAGGCTGGAAGTCAAGATCAAAGTGCCAGCAGGTTTCGTGTCTGGTGAGGGCCCCTCTCTTGGGTTGCAGATGGCCACTTTCTCACTGTGTTATCAATGGCCTTTTCTTGGTGTGCTGTGTGTACTTGGAGAGAGAGAGTGAACTCTTTGGTGTCTCTTATAAGGACACTAATCCTGTTAGATCAGGTACCAACTTTTATGACCTTAATTACCTCCTTATTCCAAATACAGCCACACTGGGCGTTAGGACTTCAACGTATACATTTTGGGGGAGACACATGAATCTTGTCCATAACACGTGCTGATCTTGCTCTTGACCCTCTTCTTGACTTAAAGATTCCATTTCTGGGACCTTCAGAATTAACCTCATTACTCTCTATAGTATATAATGCTTTAATTTGAGCCATGTAGCTCAGCCTTGTGGCTGGTTCTGTCCTCAAAGCTTATTATCATCATCAACTCACATTGATTAAGTATCTACTTATTTTAAATTCCCTTATTTGGGTACTATGCAGCTTGCCCTTATCAGATTGACTGTTAGTGAATGCCCAAAGTCAAACCTTGAGCTCAATTCCTTCTCACCTCTTCATCTACCCTTTCTTGGGGTAGATGTCTATACACTGAGGCTGTTTATTCTTCACTAAATGACAAATGGCCTGTCATTTCTAGAAATGCTGTCTTATGACTTTGTAGCACAGATATTTCCCAAACAGGCTTTGTGAGGCCACCCATGACCCCACTGGGGCTTGCTGCAATCTCATGCTCTATATTGTAGTATATTTGTTAGCTCAAAGGCCAGAGGCTGTCTCAAGAAATTTACCCAACTCAGGAAATCAAATAGATGAATTAATTGCTGTTTCTATATCAATTGTCTCTGAGAAACACATAATTAGGCAGTCTTCTCATTTCAAGAAGAAAAAGATGGAGTAAAAACCCATTTGGGACAAGGAAAATCAATCATAATAAGAAAGCCCTTTGAGAAGTGTGGGCCCTTGCACCAGTTGTGCCCTCTCAGGTGGGTCCCCTATTTAAAAAGGTGAATATTTTTAGAACTGAGTGCTTCAAAATTGGGCATTTGTGTCGTAACTATGGTTTATGTTCCCATGATAGGAACACACAAGACCCCATGGGATCTTCTCCACTTTAATGGAGTGAATTGTTCAATTGACAGGGGAGATTTAGAATGCTTCATCAGAAAAACTAACACAGGCCCATTTTCCCATCCAGAACAAGCTTTTCTAAATAACTTTTCACAGATGAAGCTTCTTGTAAATACTACCAGAAATATTTTCACTT
This sequence comes from Homo sapiens, assembly GCF_000001405.40. NCBI lineage: Eukaryota > Metazoa > Chordata > Mammalia > Primates > Hominidae > Homo > Homo sapiens. The sequence continues at coordinate 93,669,084 of NC_000007.14, forward strand.
TATAAAACTATAGCTCAATATTTCAGTCACAGCATCAGTCATTTTCATGGAATCCTATGTGATTGGGGACATATTGTATTTCATTGAAAATGCCCCAGTAGGCACCAAGAAAATCATAAAAGTAGGTCCTTTCTGTGGATTCATTAAATTATTAGCTTATTGCCAGGTCAGTCCAGAGATTCTATAGAGACTTGTCATTCTCTTCTCAGCTAGGATAATGGAACATGTTATCTTTTAGAAACACAGCATTCAGTCCTTATATTATTCTACTGCTCTGGGATCCAAGAGTTGTTCTTTCCTAATCCCCACCTCAAGATACTGTGATAACCAGAGAAATTCTAAAGTGATCATTCCTGTAATGATAATTAATACCTATCACTTATACTTTCTTTTTAATAGAATATTATGAATAGCAAAGATAAATCATTTTTATTTACAAGCTGCGCTGAGTTAACCCAGCTCCATAAGGTTATAAAGTAAAATGATATTTTATAAAATCTCCAAGAAAAGTTCTAAAAGTTTAAACTTTAAAACAAATTCACTTTATTTTATCCTTTGTGATCTCATTGCAGGCTATATGTCCCATCATTTCAGAGCAGTAGTTTATTACATGCATTATGTATCCATTTCCCTGGCTTGAATATACTCACATAAACAAGGCCCAAATCTTTTACTTCTTTTTTTTTTTGTCCAAAATGTGTTTATTGAGATGGTTTCCCACTCATCTTGACTCAGAGTGCTTTTAGTGCTGCTTTCTCCTGAAGGAACATCCTTCTGTAAGCCTTGCTTTTCCTCCTATAGGCTGGCAGAGGACAGTGGAGCAGCCAACACACAAAACTACCGTTTGTGCATGGCTAAAGACCGTGGTGATTTTATAGCATCTTGGGCATTTCACATCCATGAAGTAGGAATTGGGGCTCTGCACCAGGCGTTTCTTCTTGTGTTTCCTCTTCTCTTCTGGAGAGGGATGAAGGAGATCCTTTGTGAGAGGCATGTTCTCGTATGGGTAGGTCGTCACTGCCAGAAAGGATCTTTTACTTCTTTACAGTACAAAGCATAAAGGTCAGCACTTATTGTTCACTCAGCATAAGTAAATGAGTGAATAGCTTGTGCACAATGGTTAGAATAGTTAGAGTAGTTTTCCTGTATTACTGTGAGTTTAGCAAAAACCAAAAACCAAACAAAAAACCAACAACAAACAAAATATCTGTAGGCCTACCTTTAATAGACGTGTTTAAAGAAAACAAAACAGATTTTCCTCTACATGGTAATACTTAAAACTTTAGCTTATAGACTAAATAGGCCAAAGATTTCAACATAAGATGGTTAATGATAACTTTGCCAGATATTTGAATTTTATATTCTGAAAATAATGCCAATATGTTAAGAAACATATCTTAGCTTTCTTTGCTAGTTTCTGCTTCTACCACCAAATAAATTAAGTTTCATATTTTAGTAGTAAAAGTTTTAGGAAACTTATGCTTTTGTTTTAGTTCTTCTACTAAACAGCTTCTAAGAAAATGATATTTTGGCTCTCTATAATTTTCTATAAAATAGAAATGATAATGACAGTTTTGTCTTTTTAAAGATGATGATTATAACAATAAATAAAATGATAAGATGTGGAAGTATCTTGAAAAACATAAAGTGCCAAGCAGCTATAGGGAAATGTTGGAACACAAACAGATAATTGGAATATAGTGATGAAAGTGCTGGCTAATGAATTCCTTTTCCCTTTCACCTTCATTCAGTATTCAAAGCTCTTAAAAAGAATCAGTTACATAGAGGTTGGATTGGAATGGCCACTGCTTAATTTCAGCTCCTAAAGTACAGCACTGTAACTTCTACCTTCCATGGCTGACACTTCTATACCTATCTGACACCTTCCACCCTGGCCTCAGCCTACCTATCCAAGATAGGCCATTTCCTAGTAGTGGGTCAGGTGCCTTTCCTCTTCCTTATGTTTCCTTTCTATGAGTGGAATTCAATCTATATAACCTATAACCTAAATCTTTCTTCTCTGCTTTACTGGTTCTGTGCTGAGGAAGCAGAATAATTTATCTGAGTGGTTAACTTGGGTAGGATAACTGGACAGGCTTGGCTTAGCACCACTTGGCTCTGAGATCAAGCTGGCTTACAAGACAAGCTCTCCTCTACTTGTTTGCACTGTAAGTCCTGCCTGCGTAGACTTCCTTGATGCACAGAGGCCTTCCTTGGTGTGGCACAACCTACAATTGGGTGCCTGAGTCTGTCTGATCCAGGGGTTCAATACTGGCAATCCTACTTTTCTATGGCACCTAAAGCTAGGTCCTCCAACCTAGCCACTGGTTAGTGAAGTGATTGTTTACCCTCAATAACTACTGTTTATTTTATTTATCAACTACTTCAGAACCTGAAAAGTGAAGAGGTGTGATCGTTATTGCTTTTTGCTTTCCTCCACCCCGAGTTCTGCACACACATGCTGGCAGTGTCTAAAATTTCCAGCAAAAACAACAAACAATGGCCTTCTAGCACCAGAATCTGTTCACATTTCCTGCTCTTTCCTCCATTTTAGCCCAGTATTTCTCATTCCTGTTTTCCTGATTCTCTGGCCTCCATTTTTGCCTGTATCTTGGCACCTGATGTTCAATTCAAGCCCCCTTTGCCATTATAATCCATTTGGTAGCTCAGCTCCATGCATTTTAACTTTTGGGAAGAAAACACCTTCCCAGATGGTCAATGCACTTGCCCTAACAAGCCATCCCATTGATAAAGGGAGGTTGGCACATCCTGTTGCAAATGAAGGTCAGCACTCCTGCCTGGTCATAGTTCTCTTACCCTTTCCTATGTTTTTGCAGCCTTGTCTCTGTTAGCCCAGATAAGTTTTCCAATGATGTTGGGAGCTACTTGGATGCTGAAGGAAATGTTTTACTTTTCTCTGATCCTACAAAAACATTGTTTATACTTCCTCTGTGCATGAGATTGAAATTGCCTGCGAGAAGGTTGGAATTACCAAAAGTTTCTATTTAGATTCTGAGTGGAATGCAATTCAGGATACTATTCATTGGTATGCTTCCTCTTCTTCTTCTTTTTGTGTTTGTTGGTATTTAGTTTAAATGTCTTGTTTATGGTTTTGACAGTGCTGTGATATGATATTACTTTGTAACCAGCATGGTGCCACTATTTCAAAGGTCACTGAAATACTCAGCCGGTGTTTATATATCATTTCCTACTTGGAACATTGTGTTTAAAGTTCTGATTGACTTGACCAAGTTACTGAGGTCTGGAAGACCTCATCACTGAGAAGGCAGAAATTTCAAAAAAATTAACAATTGTCTTAGAGATTTGAAATGTGAAATGTAGAAGGAAACTCTAGGTCCTTTAAAATCTCAGTTTAAAAAGATAAATTGATATGAGACAGATTAAGTGATTTGCCCATAGAAATGTTATTAAATGTTAAGGTGAGGATTCTAACAAAGTTGACATTATGCTTGATTTAGGGATATTTCCCCACTTCACATCACTGTTCTCTCATTACCAGAAAAGTGTATAAATATTTTGTCAGACAGCGTGATGCCTCCAGCTTTGTTCTTTTTGCTTAGGATAGTCTTGGCAATGCGGGCTCGTTTTTGGTTCCATGTGAACTTTAAAGTAGTTTTTTCCAATTATGTGAAGAAAGTCATTGGTAGCTTGATGGGGATGGCATTGAATCTATAAATTACCTTGGGCAGTATGGCCATTTTCATGATATTGATTCTTCCTATCCATGAGCATGGAATGTTCTTCCATTTGTTTGTGTCCTCTTTTATTTCGTTGAGCAGTGGTTTGTAGTTCTCCTTGAAGAGGTCCTTCACATCCCTTGTAAGTTGGATTCCTAGATATTTTATTCTCTTTGAAGCAATTGTGAATGGGAGTTCACTCGTGATTTGGCTCTCTGTCTGTTATTGGAGTGTAGAAATGCTTGTGATTTTTGCACTTGATTTTGTATCCTGAGACTTTGCTGAAGTTGCTTATCAGCTTAAGGAGATTTTGGGCTGAGACGATGGGGTTTTCTAAATACGCAATCATGTCATCTGCAAACAGGGACAATTTGACTTCCTCTTTTCCTAATTGAATACCCTTTATTTCTTTCTCCTGCCTGATTGCCCTGGCCAGAACTTCCAACACTATGTTGAATAGGAGTGGTGAGAGAGGGCATCCTTGTCTTGTGCCAGTTTTCAAAGGGAATGCTTCCAGTTTTTACCCATTCAGTATGATATTGGCTGTGGGTTTGTCATAAATAGCTCTTATTATTTTGAGATACATTCCATCAATATCTAGTTTATTAAGAGTTTTTAGCATGAAGGGCTGTCGAATTTTGTCAAAGGCCTTTTCTGCATCTATTGAGATGATCATGTGGTTTTTGTCTTTGGTTCTGTTTATGTGATGCATTACATTTATTGATTTGCCTATGTTGAACCAGCCTTGCATCCCAGGGATGAAGCCAACTTGATCTTGGTGGTTAAGCTTTTTGATGTGCTGCTGATTTTGGTTTGCCAGTATTTTATTGAGGATTTTTGCATCAATGTTCATCAGGGATATTGGTCTAAAATTTCTTCTAGATTTTCTAGTTTATTTGCATAGAGGTGTTTATAGTACTCTTTGGTAGTAGTTTGTATTTCTGTGGGATCGGTGGTGATATCCCCTTTATCATTTTTTATTGCATCAATTTGGTTCTTCTCTCTTTTCTGTAACCAAAACAGCATGGTACTGGTACCAAAACAGAGATATAGACCAATGGAACAGAACAGAGCCATGGAAATAATACCACTCATCTACAACCAGCTGATCTTTGACAAACCTCACAAAAACAAGAAATGGGGAAAGGATTCCCTATTTAATAAATGGTGCTGGGAAAACTGGCTAGTCATATGTACAAAGCTGAAACTTCCTTACACCTTATACAAAAATTAATTCAAGATGGATTAAAGACTTACATGTTAGACCTAAAACCATAAAAACCCTAGAAGAAAATCTAGGCAATACCATTCAGGACATAGGCACGGGCAAGCATGTCATGACTAAAACACCAAAAGCAATGGCAACAAAATCCAAAATTGACAAATGGAATCTAATTAAACTAAAGATCTTCTGCATAGCAAAAGAAACTACCATCAGAGTGAACAGGCAACCTACAGAATGGGAGAAAATTTTTACAATCTACCCATCTGACAAAGGGCTAATATCCAGAATCTATAAAGAACTTAAACAAATTTACAAGAAAAAATCAAACAACCCCATCAAAAAGTGGGCAAAGGATATGAACAGACACTTTTCAAAAGAAGACATTTATGTAGCCAACAGCCACATGAAAAAATGCTTATTATCACTGGCCATCAGAGAAATGCAAATCAAAACCACAGTGAGATACCATCTCACACCAGTTAGAATGGCGATCATTAAAAAGTCAGGAAACAACAGGTGCTGGAGAGGATGTGGAGAAATACGAACACTTTTACACTGTTAGTGGGACTGTAAACTAGTTCAACCATTGTGGAAGACAGTGTGGCAATTCCTCAAGGATCTAGAACTAGAAATACCATCTGACCCAGTGATTCCCTTGCTGGGTATATACCCAAGGGATCATAAATCATGCTACTATAAAGACACATGCACCCGTATGTTCATTGAGGCACTATTCAAAATAGCAAAGACTTGGAACCAACACAAATGCCCAACCATGACAGACTGGATTAAGAAAATGTGGCATATATACACCATGGAATACTATGCAGCCATAAAAAGGATAAGTTCATGTCCTTTGTAGGGACATGGAAGTAGCTGGAAACCATCATTCTCAGCAAACTATCACAAGGACAGAAAACCAAACACCGCATGTTCTTGCTCATAGGTGGGAATTGAACAATAAGAACACTTGGACACAGGGTGGGGAACATCACACACCAGTACCTGTCATGGGGTTGGGGGAGGGGGGAGGGATAGCATTAGGAGATATACCTAAAGTAAATGTCAAGTTAACGGGTGCAGCACACCAACATGGCACATGTATATATATGTAACAAACCTGCACGTTGTGCACATATACCCTAGAACTTCAAGTATAATAATAAAAAAAATTTCATGAGACACTTGCTAACTCAGTTTATTCAATTTTCCTATAAAATTGATTATTGAAAAATTTCTTCTTGCTTTGAGTACTTAATACTCTCCTCAAAGAGAAAAGGCAGTTATTTAATTCTTTATTTCTTGTTTGTGAAACTGATTGCTAAGAATAATTATTCTATTAGTATCTCATACAGTTTAAAGCCTTACTGAAGGTTGAGGGGGGTAGGCAGGATCTGTGATACTACTAACTTTGATCTAAAATTATAAACATGTAATCACAAAACCACTGTGGTTCCAGCAGTGATCAGTCTGTGCTTTCAGCAGTGATCAGTCTGTGCTTTGAAGCATAATCTGCTTTCATAAAGGGGTGAAGGATTTCACTCTGCCTGCCTTGAATCCATGACAAGCAGGGGTATAGCTGCATAATCCTTTTACAGGGAGATGAAGAATTGAAACCAATCACTCAATTTAACACAGTTGGTATTTTCTAACTTTTATATATTTGGCAATATTTTGAGTGAGTTATGATATCCTGTTATATTATTATTTTGCACATTTTCAATTCTAAAGAGATTAAGCACATTTTTATATGTGTATGATTCAGGTACATTTCTTTTTATAATGTGCCTGTTGAAGTAATCAGCCTATTTTTCTATTGAATCACCTATATTTTAAATTTTTTTTTTTTTTTTTTTTTTTTTTTTTTTTTTTTGAGGCAGAGTCTCGCTCTATAGCCCAGGCTGGAGTGCAGTGGCATGATCTCGGCTCACTGCAACCTCCACCTCCCAGGTCTCATTTCAAGCAATTCTCCTGCCTCAGCCTCCCAAGTAGCTGGGATTACAGGCACGCTCCACCATGTCCAGCTAATTTTTTTGTATTTTTAGTAGAGACGTGGTTTCACCATGTTGGCCAGGCTTGTCTTGAACTCCTGATCTCGTGATCTGCCCGCCTTGGCCTCCCAAAGTGCTGGGATTACAGGCGTGAGCCACCACGCCTGGCCAACATTTTTTTAATATGTAAGAGTTTTCTTGTATTTCCAAATAAAGGCCATTGCTTTTTATCTATTCTTATATTTTTTTCTAAAATGACTTGTTTTCCCTTTATAATATTTAGAGCTAGACATTTTTAATTTTAATGGAGTTAAATTTATTGGTTACTCTTTATGGTGGATGCTTTTTGCAGCCAGTTGACAAGTGGAGTGAATTTATTCACATGTTTGGCAACTGATTGGCTGTTAGCTAAGATGAGGGAAAGAGGTTTTCTTTTCAAAATTTAGGCTGGCCCAGGCCAAATTGCTTGAAGACTGGCCGGGTTATGAGAACACAATAGATGTGTGCAGAGTCTCTAAAGACTGGGCTTAGAAGTGCCATAACATTACATCTACGGCATTCCATTGGGCAGAGAAAGCCACAAGACAAGCCCAGAGTTAAACAGAGGAGTAATAGATCACCTCTGTGGTGGAAGTGCTACAAAGGCACATTGAAATTATATGGGTACTAAAACGAGAAGAATTCTTGCAATATACCAGAGATCTTTGTACAAGATCTCAGAGGCCAGCAGAAGCAAACCACCTGGTGCCAAAATCTCTGTAAGCGCCATCATCACTGTAGTGTTTAAATGCAATAACCACTTGATCTCTCATCGCTTTGCACTTCATCAGGATTTCATCCCGTGCCTCCTTGGTGTTTATTGGAGTAATTAGGATGCCACTGGAAGCCATAGGATAACAGTGCTACATTTTCCCACCCCTGTAAAAAGGTTAGCATACTCATCCAACATGAGAGCAACCCAATTACAGAATTACCTTTTGAAGGTCTTTTTCAGGCACTAGACCTAATATAAATTACTGTATCAGACAGAAAATCAGCAAGAAAAAGATAGCAAAGTCATAAAGGGTTTTTGAAAACATTTTACTAAATCAGTTATTACAAAGTTGTGGCCAGGTTTCAGGATACTCAATAGGTGGCAAAACACCCAAGGGCTGGCAAAACCAGAAAGTTGCCATCATCTATAGGCTTGAAAGGACAAGGAGATTATTTACTGGAAAACTTCTGGCTACAAGAGAGACCCATCTGAAAGAAGCTGTAGTTTTGGTAGAGGAACATAGCTTTAGCCAACTCAAGGCATAGCAAACATGAACAGAAAGAGTAAATACCCTGAACTCTTTCATCCTGCCCTTAAGCTTTCAGACAGTGCCTAAACTTGTCTGAAGAAATCAGAAGCTGGAAGACAGGATAAGGGAGCCCAGTTCATGTGTCAGTCTTGAAGTACATAGCAGGGTGAAGAAGGCAGAAGGTCTGTCTGGACAGGCAACCAGATAATGTCTATCCATGTGCATAATAAAAATTTGTTGAATAAATGCACTCTTTCCATGTGCATAATAAAAATTTGTTGAATAAATGCACTGTTTCCTTAGTGGAAAATATCCTGCAAATTTGAGCACCCTACTTGCTTTAGCAGAAAACTTTTACTAGCTTATAATTATTTTTCAATATTAATGCAGGTTCTCATACACATTTTTAATCCTGATAAGAATTTTCTCTCTTCCATAACAACCTCACCTGCAAAACTCAGTTGTTAAATTTTCCAGTTAAGAAAGCCAATAAATTATCTAAAAACAAACAAACAAAAGAAACAAAAAAAACAAAAACCAAAACAAGCTTGTTTGATTTGAGTTTCTGTCACTCATAACCAAAAGAGTTCTAACATGCCTTTATTTGCTTTCTTCAGTCACACTTGTATTTTAATTCCTGGAACATGTTTCTATTAATGTGTCAGTAATTACTGCAGAATTATAAGTGATTGAAATTGAAAGTACCCTTCTCCAGGCACTACGTAAAAAACAAAGGAGACAAAACAGCCACAAAAGACAAAATGACACACTGGCTTGCAGTTCCCTTAGTAGAGGTATTATAACATAGTGTTCACTTTAATTATTTAGACTCTATTATTTAGGGTTCTGAGTCCATTGTACCCAGCATCTGGAGGAAACTGTCTGAATTTTTACAGGAGCAAGGAGCAATGGTACATGTAGTTATGTAGATTTCTGACTTCAAGACATTTTATTGCAAATCAGAATTATTCTCTAAAGACTTGAAGAGAACACATTTCAATCTCTATAGGATTCATTTTACTCATTTACTTAAGAAGGACTGTGACATAACAATGATTTTGATAATACAGCTGCTACTATTAATAATCAGAGTTATCATTCTTGAGGGATTGGCTCTGTGCCAGGCACTATAATAAGACATTAAATATATTTTATCTCATCTTCAAAGCAATTCTATAAGTTAGATATCATTCCCATGCTATATATGAAAAACCAAATCTCAGAAATTAAGTAACTTTCTGCATTATGTATATTTGATTCTGTGAACATGTTTCTCTCATGATTAAATTAGTCTTATATCTTAGCATATTTTAATATTCACATTAATAATATAAAGATATTTGCTTAAGGAGGGAATTGAATGGGATGAGATTTTTCTCTCCAAACAAGAAAGAAGCCTTAGTTGTATGTTTGAATAAACATCTTAATCAATTATAAAATCTATGTTAAAACTAGAATTAACCAAGAAACTAGAAAAATGAAAGACAGATATATATAATTATTTTCACCTGACCAGTGAAATTAAAGATGGAGAAATCACCCTATCAACAGGATTTGTGGGATGTAGGGGTGGCCATAGAACTGATAAGACTTGTATGAAAACAGAGGACTCATAATCTCTTTTACAGCATTTTAATGTTGTGTTGATAGTTTTCTAGGATACAGATAGCTATAGTGAAATTATACTGAGGATGGAAATGGTAATTGTGGCTTCATATCTGAAATCAAGGTGATTTTATTGTTTTTCATCTAAAATTGATTACATAAAGTAAAGCCTGGTATCAATTCAATTGAGGATTTGATGAGTCAAATATGAAGCCAAATGTGACCCATACAACCTTTGCTGGCTGTATTTCTTTTCAAAATATACAAGGCCTATACAAATCACTCATATATATTTATATGAATGTAAAATAGAATAAACGTTAAATAAAGAAATTATGATAATTAGGTACAAATACAGGCACTTGGTATTTATGTAGGGCCTTTATCACCAAGTATTCAAAGCCTGCTGGGACTAGTATCTCACGAGGCATTGTGATGTTGGAAGCAAAAAGGATTTGTAGTGTTTGTACTGAACAATTTGCCAAATGCTGTCAGGTAAGCTGAGGACAGCATCCAGTCTCCTAATTTTTGCTTTTGCAGCCTTCCAGTCTTGCCTTCCTAAAAATTAGATTTGAAATATAAGAAGGAAAATGACCAAAATTAAGATTTTCATAGCAACAATTTTGATTAAAGCCCCAAAATTTCCAAAAACTATCAATATTTGATAAACAGTGGATATTGATGGTTCTCCTAACAGAAACGCTAAGTATATGCAGTATAAGGAACAGATTTTTCCAAAGGAATCACAACGTATTTGTCATTTTTAACTCTAATTATTAGGTGCTTTTGTCTGCATTTGATTATCTCAATCTTTACAAATATACTGATTATAAAAATCACTAAGATTTCTCTATAATCTGTGGTATGAAATAAACAGTTTGGTTTCCAAAAGTACTCAGCACTTTTGATTGTTCTTATCAATAAATAAGAAATGATATCAAAATGAGAATGAAGCAAATGTCCGAGAGCTGAACTGTTTTGCATAACTTGATCTCTCCATTGCAAGGCTACTTTGAGGCTGGAGGGAGAAAGCTGAAATAGTCTAGCACTGTTGGTGCTATCAAATGCAGGTGAAAGTCATATCCTCATGGGCAACTGCTCAGTGAAAACCTGAGAGGTGTTTTGTCTTCATTTGAACAAGACGAAACCAAACCCTCTTCTTTTACTGACTCTGAGAGAATTTTGATTCAGAAAAAAAATTCCTCACTGAGGACTAGCTAAATGTAAAATTAGAACAAAAGCCAGTCTCACAGAAACAAAACACTGGGAACTGTATGTTTCTTTTTAAGACCATGAAATGAGGGAGAAACATCTTCAGTTTTTTGTAAGCCTGAGCACTTTCCCAAGTAAAATTTTTAGATAAGTTAAATGTCAATAAGCCAGAATTACCCAATTGCATTTAAAAAAAATGTTCATGAACATTTTTTTTAATGGGGAAAAAAGTTGCCATATGTTCACATTGGGAAACATTAACAAGAATAACCACTTTTAAGTGGGTGATTGATTTTTGCATATATAATCGAGGCCCAAGAGTGGACTGAGGAGTGAAGAAATATATGGTGGTGGCATAGAATGTGCCACCCAGAAATATAAGCTGGGAGTGTATTCGTGAATTCATTGGGGCTCAAAATACCTGTGGTAGGCTGAATAATGGTCCCCAAATATGCCCATATCCTAATCTCTGAAACCTATAAATATCTTATTTTGTAAGTGGAAATTTGCTGATGTAAGTAAGGATCATCAGACTATCCAGAGTGAAGCATATATCATAAAAAGAAGGGTGAAAGATGAATCAGAGTCAGAGAGAAGGTAGTGGGACATTGGAAGTAGAGGTTGGAGTGATGAACTTTGACCATAGAGGAAGAGACCATAAGCAAGGATCGAGATGGCATCTAGCAGCTGTGAAAGACAAGGAAAGAAATTCTCCCCTAGAGTCTACAGAGGAGCACCGCCCTATTGACACCTTTACTTTAACCCAGTGAATCTGATTTTAGATTTCTAGGCTTCAGAACTGTAGAGAATACATATCTGTGTTGTTTTAAGCCATCAAATTTGTGCTAATTTGTTATAGTAGCCTTAGTAAACTAATACAATATCCTGTATCTGCATTTTGAAAGTTTATTTTTTTCTGTTTAATTTTAAAAGTGAATGTTTTGTCTCTTTGGAGGAAAATCTGGGAGAAATACAAGAAAATAATGTTGGAGGGCCGGGCATGGTGGCTCACGCCTGTAATCCCAGCACTTTGGGAGGCTGAGGCGGGCGGATCACGAGGTCAGGAGATAGAGACCATCCTGGCTAACACGGTGAAATCCCATCTCTACTGAAAATACAAAAAATTAGCCGGGTGTGGTGGCAGGTGCCTATAGTCCCAGCTACTCGGGAGGCTGAGGCAGGAGAATGGCGTGAACCCGGGAGGCAGAGCTTGCAGAGAGCAGAGATCGCGCCACTGCACTCCAGCCTGGGTGACAGAGAAAGACTCCCACTCAAAAAAAAAAAAAAAAAAAAAAAAAGAAAATAGTGTTGGAGAAAGATGAATTTTAACATGAAAAGAATTCAGAAGCCCAGGTAATATTAAGAATAAAATAGGCCAGGCATGGTAGCTCACGCCTGTTAATCCCAGCACTTTGAGAGGCCAAGGCGGGCTGATCACGAGGTAGGAGATTGAGACCATCCTGGTTAACACTGTGAAACCCTGTCTCTACTAAAAACACAAAAAATTAGCCGGGCATGGCGGTGGGCGCCTGTAGTCCCAGCTACTCGGGAGCCTGAGGCAGGAGAATGGCGTGAACCCGGAAGGCGGAGCTTGCAGTGAGCTGAGATCGCACCACTGCACTCCAGCCAGGGCAACAGAGCCAGACGCCGTCTCAAAAAAAAAAAAAAAAAAAAAAAAAAAAAAGAATAAAATAGCAGGAAACAGAGAATAGTACCTACCCCTGTAGAAACCATGAGGTAGAGAAAACACAGTAAACTTAATAAAGAAACATATATACCATGGAATACTATGCAGCCATAAAAAATGATTAGTTCATGTCCTTTGTAGGGACGTGGATGAAGCTGGAAATCATCATTCTCAGCAAACTATCGCAAGGACAAAAAAACCAAACACCGCATGTTCTCACTCATAGGTGGGAATTTGAACAATGAGAACACATGGACACAGGAAGGGGAACATCACATACCGGGGACTGTTATGGGGTGGGGGGAAGGGAGAGGGATAGCATTAGGAGATATACCTAATGCTAAATGACGAGGTAATGGGTGCAGCACACCAACATGGCACATGTATACATATGTAACAAACCTGCACGTTGTGCACATGTACCCTAAAATTTAAAGTATAATAATAATAAATTTTTTTTAAAAAAAGAAATAATCTGAATGTATCTGGTGTTAACCATAAGCTGTCACCATCTTAATACTTTTCTATTGTAGGGAATATATGAGATATTTTTCTAATTATATCAATCATAGTGTTTATCTCCAATGTGAGGGTTGTTTCTTACCATCTCTTCCTTCAGATTGTATGAACCCTCTTAGAACAGATGCTGTCTTCCATCTTTGCCTATTAGAATCTGGTACTTGTCATTTGGTAAATATGTTTTGAGTGAACAAATTAAAATCCACAAATACAATAGATGCTTCTCTCTTACCAATTCTACCCCCACTTCCACTCTCAGATGCTAGATCAGTGAGAGGAGATTGCAGTTCTAATGATGGTCTGAATGCAGATATGCTACCTGAACAACCTAATGTAGCCATTGTAAAGAAAGTAAATACAAAGTTCCTGAGGAGCCTTAAGGGAGAAAGATCCCTTCCTGGTAGTCAGCCCCTAATCTGAGGTCTCAACAGTGATGTGGTTCCAAGTTCTCTGAGGAAAGCAGTTTTGTTGTCTGCGATAAATGAAATGAATTGGATAAGAGTTGGTATAAAATGCCTAAGTCTTCCCGGAATGAGGGTTGGCAGTTATCAGATTCCTCGTGGAAGTTGGTGCTTTATGAAACTAGCAGCAGTAGTTTGGGACTTATTTTATTATACATATCAAAGACTGCAGAAAAGAGAGCTATCATGGGCCCAGATTTATTTTCTTGACCAGATCTGAGCTCACCTGGAAATGATTCATTTCAGACTGGAATTTAAGTGAAGGTAAAAAAAAAAAAAAAAAAACTATCCTCACCTAACATCAGCTTTTACTTGGCCACACTAGTGAGAAAGAGTTCTCAATAAAATCCATAGGAAAGGAAAATGCATGGAACGGCCTTCTGCCTTCATGTTACACAAAGAGTAGGAACTAAGAACAATTGATCTTTCATGATGCTTTTATGAATTATATAATCTCTTCAGCCACTTACTCTGTTCTTCTTTATCTATTGTGTCTTACACTAATTCAGGAGCACTTGCTCTTTGGAAAACAAAACAGCCTTTTTCAGTTGAAGGTAATCAGGACCTAGGAAGCATGAGAGATTGATCATATTCTATGCATTCTGTGAGTTCAGATTTTGTATTCAGTTTTTGTGGCAGGAATAAATTACCCAGTAATGGTCAGGTAGGCAACTTTTCATTCACCATATTAAGTCTTATATAATGATTCAAGTGTTCTAATTTAGCCCCCCATGAGTTATTTTTTAGTGAAGAACTATAATTAAGCTAAGTTTGATGGACTTGCCCAAGGTCACTTATTAATGTGCTCTAGAGTAGGGATTAGAATATACTGTTTTCAGTCTTTGCTTATACATTAGACTCTTGCTACCTTTCTATGCAACCATTAATAAGACCAATTGTTCTGCCACTGAAGATATCCAGAAATTTAGTCCATGGGACGATTAACTAAGGGTCCTATGTGGGTCAACTTCAAAGCCAGAAATCAATAATGGATGAGGCAGAATCAATTTTTTAGTAGGCACAGTGCCCAGGGCCCAAGAGAATATTTTATTATTAATCTTTTAAATGAGAAAACTCATATAATAATAATATGTGATCATGAATCTAGCTTTGGACTCTATTCATCTTTATGGCAACAGAGCCATAAAATATAAATTTTATTTGTTTTTTAAAGGAAGGAAAGGGCCCATGAAGGCAAAACTGTTCAGGGTTCATAGAAGTCATTATGGGGCCCTGGAAACTAGGATAATTAGAACTGTTGCATCTGGGAATGCAGAAAACAAAACCAATATTCATTCAAAATATCCCACTTGCATGTGAGAGCATAAATAATGCTCTTAAGATAATTTTGCTTATAGACTTTTGTATAAAAATAAGCCAGGAGGAGTTGGCTACCATCTGTGGAACTGAAGGACAGAGTGTTTTATCAGTAATAAGTTTTTTTTGCCATATAAATTTAATCACAATTGTACATGGAAAGTATTTGGAGCCAGAAAGCTGGATGACCCTGAGACACATACACTGCCAGAACTTTCATCTCTCATGGTATGCTTTTATGTCAAGGTATACCTGTCTCTCATGGAATGCCTGTTGATAGCTAGGTTGGGATAATGATCCACTTAGCCTTTGAGTTGGTCAGGGAAGGACTGGGAGAGGACATTCTTTGGTCGCTGGAGCTTTCAGGGAAGTAGCATGTCCCTCGGAACAGTCTCACTCAATTGCTTTAGTGTACTCTACAAATGTTAATATTTTCTATGTGTTCCATGAAGTTAAAAGGATGAGCAGACATTGATCAATCTAGGCTTGAGTTTCTTTACCTATAAAATGTAGACATAGGACAAGACAACCTCTAATTCAATTCAAATCAACAAACATGTTGAGGGAGAACTGCACTAGCCTCTGGGATACAAAGATTAATTGAATATAGTTTGTCCAAAGTCACATATTTCAAAGAGTTCACACCCTTTGTGGAGAGACAGGCATGAAATCATCTTCCAGTAATACAAGTTACACTGTGATAAATGTTGAGGGTGCATAATAATCAAAGTAATATTAAAACTCAGAAAAAAATGAATACCAATAGCAGGGGAAGAAACAGGGCTTCAAAAGGGAGGTGACAATTAGCCTGAATATGCATGTCAGATCTCCAGAAAAATTGATTGGGATTCCATCCCTAAGGCAAGGAAAGTAAAGTGGAAGAACTGTGGTCCTAATATTAGAGATAACTCAGATAAAGAGAAGTTAAATTGTTGCTTGTCCAAGATGCTCATGGTGTTGGCAGAACTGAGAAAGAAACAAACCACTTTTTCACAGAAACTCCCAATGTAGCAGCTGGGAAAATGGCATTAACTTCAAGTGTTCAAACTTTCCTTCTGGGAAAACTTATAAAATAATTTAAGGCATATGACTATTTCATAGGGAGCTATTAATCAATGGCTAAAATAAGAGTAAGAGAACACCAAGGCATTATTAGAAGCAGTTTCCTGCCTTCCAGTCCCTCACTGGCACAGAGCACTCTCAGTAATCTCATAGTGTATTGAATGAGATTGCTGAAATGTGGAGATACATGAAAATCAGGCATTTGGTTCATTCATAATTGAAGAGAGAATTTGAATTGAAAGTGGTTCTCTAGACTTATTAAGAATGATAAATGACTGAGATAAAAAATATTAGGAAGTTTAAATCAACATAGTTATTGGTTAGAAATGAATGTAGGTGCTTGGGGGAATGAATAGCATTTGCTAATAGTGCACCAGGCAGCCTGTGTGAAATAAGTTACACATTAGATCAAAATATGGATCTTTTATTGTCTTTTTGTTTTTACTTTTTATTCTGAGAACTTTAAAACACACAGAAAAGTAAAAGGAGTAGTACAATAGACACATGTTACCAATCACTCACCACCAACAATTATAAATACAGTACCAAGTTTGTTTCATCCAAATTCTCAGTCCTGACCACTTGTTGCTTTCTTTTAAAAAAAGAACAATTTTGATGAGATATAATTTACATACCACAAAATATACCCAATGCAACTATAAAATACAAAAAATTAGCAGGGCGTGGTGGCATACTCCTGTAGTCTCAGCTACTCGAGAGGCTAAGGAGAAAGGATTCTTTGAGCCTGGAAGGCAGAGGTTGCAGTGAGCCAAGATCGCGCTACTTCACTCCAGCCTGGGCGACAGAGTGAGACTCCATCTAAATAAATAAATAAATAAAAATTAGAAATAACATTATGTATTTACTTATGAATATGACATCTCTGGTGCGGTGCTCTTTTTCCCTTTTTCTCATCTGGTATCTTTTATTTTCTCCCTAAAGGATTACCTTTAATATTTCTTGCAGTGTAGTTCTACTAAGAGTACATTCTTTTAAACTTCATTGTCTGAAAAGGTATTTAATTTTGCCTTTTATATCTGAAAAATGTGCTAAGCAGGTATAAAATTCTAGATTGGCAGTGTTTTATTTTCCTTTCAATTGTTACGGACATTCTTCCACTGACTTCTTGTTTGCATTTCTACCATTGAGAAATCTACTACTCTCCCTACCTTTACTCCTCCCTACTAACATGTCTTTTTTTCCATTTACAAATTTTATTTTTAATTTCTATGGGTACATAGTAGGTATATCTATTTATGGGGCACATGTGATATTTTGATATAGGCATACGGTGTGTAATAATCACATCAGGGTAAATGTGGTATCCATTTATCCTCATTGTTATAGCTTTTTTTCTTTACCACCAGTTTTGAGAAATTTGTTTATGATATATTGGGGTTAATTTTCTCTATGTTTCTTGGGCTTTGGGTTTGTTGAACTACTTGAATCTATGGGTTTATTATTTTCATTTGGTTGAATGCAGATAATTTGAACTACGATCATGAATGCTAGATAATTTTTGTTTCCTATAAATATTCTTAAAATTGTTTTCTGGAGTGAAGTTAACTGATCATTTGGGTCTTGCTTTTAAAGATCATGTAGAAAAGTAGATCTTAATATATCAGTTTACTTTCATTTTTTTTTCTATCCTAGATCTATATTCCTTCAGTTCTAGCAGGTTACTCATAGCTTCACATGGATAGTTTTTGTATTTTGTCTTTCCCTTCTAGCTGTTTCTGATAATTACTGCTCTGCCAACCACAAGCTACTTCATTTAAGTAGCTTAAATGGTGCCAAAAATCAAATAAATAAAATAAAATTTATAATTTCTTAATTTAATGATGCTATCAATAAAATATTTTAAAATGAAAAATATGCTTCCTCTACCTTGTCCTCTAAAACCTCCTGAAGAAAAAATTGTGACATAGCAGGTCTCTGGGCCAACCTATAACTCCTGTATCTTTAATGTGTTTCTAAATTCCAGGAGAAGCCATGGTTTAATCAGAAGAGGCTTGAGATAGGAGAGGATTACAGTTTACAACATGAGATAATCAGGGACATGGAAAGTCAGTCACTTCATAGGTGATGATAATGGTTGACAAATATACTCCATAAGGTACTATGCTACCTGCTGGACATAAAGAGTTGTGAGTTATAAGATTTCTTTAGGTACCTTATAGTAAAACAATTTTTAGACAAAAATTAGTGACCCATCAAGTTGAATTACAATAACACTTTTAGCCTGAAGGAAATGGTGTCCTTCAGTATCAGACATATTGGGATGATAGAAGCGAATCTTTTTCCTGCCCTTATCCTTCCCAATACTTTTATTTCAGATGAATTATTTTCCTTATGATACTATTTTCAGCAACATGGATTATCTTTCTGTTTTATACTTTGCCACATACATGATATTCTCATGGCAGATAATGTATCCTTTACATGTGGGAGGCAGGTGGGTTTCATCTCACACTAGCTCTGATCAGTTGACATTTGAGTCCAACAGAAAAAATGCTGTGGTCAATTGGAAATGTGTGCCTTGGATACAGAAGAGAAAATACAGTTATTTCACGTATTTTTAAAATTTCACTTATTTAATATTAGATGTATAAATTTTAAACTCTAACACCTCTCAGAAACACTATAGCAAGAGTTTGTGTGTCAAGTGCTGGACATATCCACAATTCTGACCAATTACACAAGGATAAAGGTGAGGTGAAGATCTATTTTTAATTAGATACTTCAACAGAATATTTGATTTTATTTATTTATTTTTATTTCTTTAGACAGAGTCTCACTCTGTCACCCAGGAGGGAGTACAATGGTGTAATCTCGGCTCACTGCAACCTTCGCCTCCCAGATTCAAGCGATTCTTCTGCCTCAGTCTCCCCAGTAGCTGGGACAACATATGTATGCCACCACGCCCAGCAAATTTTTTGTATTTTTAGTAGAGGTGGAGTTTCACCATGTTGGCCAGGCTGGTCTCAGACTCCTGGCCTCAAAAGATCTGCCTGCCTTGGTCTCCCAAAGTGCTGAAATTACAGGTGTGTGCCACCATGCCCGGCCATATTTGAAAATTCAAATAGATTAGGATGCAAATTGTTCAAAGGGAAAAAGAGAAAGACAGCACTAGTGTGTCACAAAGGCACTAGTCATTCCCAGGGTAACAGGTGATAAGAAGCATAAGTTTTGAATGCAATGGAAGAAAGTAATACCTCCTTAATAGTTAAGTTGTGAAGTTTCTGTACTGAAAGAGGGCTTTGGGGAAGTACCTAAGCAATGATTAAAAACTTAATTCAGATGGTATTGGTATCAGATATAAAAAGACAATATTCTAAGATAAACTCAGCAGAGAAAATGGGGGGGTATCAGTAGTGTCTACATGAACAAGAATTCTTAATTTTTCAGAAAAGTTACTATACTTTTAAAATACAGGGGTTTTACCATTCCCTGGTAAGAAAGAATAGAAAGTTTATATCAAGACATCATTTTAAATACAAAACATAGTTGTGCAAAATGTAGAGAAAAGTAATTATAATTCTTTTTTCAGAGTGTGGGTTCAGTGATGCAGACTGTAAGAATTCCAGGGAAAGAGCCTCTCCATATATTATTATATACGGAGATTTCCGAATTTGGCAGATAAATTCTGCCTCTGTAGGTCAAAATTAGGCATAGGTGCTCATATTAGGCATAAAGTGTAAGTGTCATCCCTTAATAAATGTTAATTTGTCTGGGTGAATGACATGACAATAGTATAGTTAACAATTCCATTAATGTGAACTCAGTGTATATTATCCCCTTCTATTACTACACAGATAACACACGCAGTGAAATGATATATTTAAAAGCTACTTATATTTTTAGATGGGATTGTAGATAATTAATTTTCAAATTCTCTAAAATAGCTATACTTTTTATAGTAGGGAGGAAAAGCAACACTTAGAAAAACACTCTTAGACTCTTCATGAATAACATTAGTGAAATAATGCAAGGAAAGCACTACTTTCCTAAGGAGAACTTACTACCAAGCTACATTTTTTTTTCTTAAAGGTGGCATTGGCCATATTTCTCAACACAGTTTCTAGGTGTGAATTCATTGGCTTTGTTTCCAATAAATTTCAAGCCTGAACATTCAGAAAGAATAGAAAAGGCTGCAGATTTTTCTCTGGGAATGTATATATGCAGCTATGTCTGTATGTGTGTTAGCACACACTTATGTGTGTGGGTCTTTTATAACAATGAAAATAGATAAGATAACACAAGAAATTAGTTCTTCACCTACAGATACAAATCAAATAGGAATTAGTCAATTCACTGAAGAAATAGTGAGAAGATACAGACACCTTCAAAAAGAAGCACAAGGGTAAAACAGAATATTTTTTAAAATGATTCATATGTTATTGTATTCTTTAAGAACTCTGAGAGGTTAGGTAAGAGAGTATTATGAGATGGAAAAGGAACACTCTCAGAATTTCTAAGGTCAGGCAGCCCTGGCCTGCACTATTTTATCTGAAGAGAGAAATTGAGGGAACTTTTTTGTTGTTGTTGTTTACCCCAGATATACAGGAGATAAAGAATAAAGGAAATATAAAATGTTTTGAAAATAACCAGCATCCTCAAAATTAGATAATTATTTATAAAATAATAAAGTTGTGAAACTTATTAGTAATCATAAGCAATGGAATGATGAGTGAAAGAAACAAGTAAGTTAGAACATATGTGACTACCCATAGTCATGAAGTCACACACTGGCTGTCAACCTGATTTTTTTTTCTTTCTTTCTTTCTTTTTTCTGATTATCCATGTGAGGAAAATAAGTATTCCTCTTATTGTCAAGTACCATAGCTTCCTTTGAGTATTCCTCTTATTGCCAAGTACCATCCAACATGTCACCATTGTGTGCTGATTAATGAGGCTCAGATAATATCAGTATCCAATATCAATTAAAAGAGTCATTTGGCAAAAGCAAAAGGAAAACCTCAGTTTTCGGGAGGCTTTTCTACGGAGAAAGCACAAGCAGATCACATGTGGTTTCATCTTGCTTGACAGTTTTGATTTGACTGTCAATGCTCTGAGGCACTTCAAGCAGTATAATTTTGGTCTTGCTTTCTTGCTTTTCTCTGACCCTCAGGAGTAAGGTGCCTTCCATCCCTTCCTCTTAGTAAGTGAGTGTGCTGAATATCTTTTCTTGCCTCTCCAATATGCCATTGTCTTCTAGACTCAGATTAAGCATTGGATTGGGCCATTCAGAAACACCAGCAGGAGGTCAGAAGGAGGGAGGAGAGGGCATAAAGGGAGGTCAGGATATTTGTCCCCTTTGCTCTTTCCTGTGAGGTTTGTGAGGGCTGGGTGAGGCCTTCCATCTAAAGCTTCAGCTTCTGACAGGTGGCTGTCATTTCTTAGCTCCGTCCAAATCTGAGTCATGTTCTCTCTCTATCTCTTTTCAGATTTAGGGTGGTAAATCTTCCTCCCCCTTTCTAGCCCCAAGGTCTTGGACTATACCGTCTCATTTCTCTATATACTGGCTATATTTATGAAAAAGTCCTTTTATTAAACTCATCAAGTGATCCTAAATTAGTATAATTCCACTATGCCATTTGTTTTCTCCTGCATCCCTGACTGGTAACATGAGTCTAAGAAAAATCAGCCAGCATAGAATTCTGCACATTTACTTAGCTTATCACCGCCATTATGATGCATTAGAATATAAAGAGAATCAACATTGGGTTCTTCCAATTTTATGTGAAAAGTTATTGGTCCTGGCAGATGGCTAAAGGAATATCACACCCTCTTGAGGTCTCAAGGCTGGGGCAGGAAGCTGCAGAGAGACAGATGCTTGTGGGGCTGAAGAATACACCTTCTGATGAATTGGTCCAGAGCTCAATAGTTCCACAAAGCAGGCTCAGGACAGTAGCGTGTTTAAGTCACATAAGAACCTCTTATAGAGCCTACTCCAGTATCATCACAGGACAGAGACATCAATTCAGAAATCATCTTTGGATTTTCTAAGTTTAACCCATGATAGTTTCTATGTTAACAAAAAGAAAGCTAGTTCCATACACTTTTGCCAAAGGAATATCCCCACTTCTCTTTTAAGGTCTTGAGTGTTTTCTTGGAGAGGCATGCTGGGTGCTCCCTCCGCATGGTAAGTCCACTAGTTACCCAGGCACTATCCAGGATCTCTCTGCACTTGAACTATCCCATGACACATTTCCACTTCCAAGGCAGACTCATGGAGGTAAAATACCTAAAACTTAGATCAAACAAATGAACTATACATCTTTTAGCAGGTGTAGTAAAAAAAACGTTTGTAAATCATAAGTGGAGTTTTGAGATTGCATGTGTGTTTTAATTACCTTGGCACTTCTCATCTCTTGTTATGAAATTTGGATGCATACAGTGCCCAATGTCTGCATACTTCTATAAGATATATGTATTTGCTTTTCAGAGGGCCGATTATAGTGAAGGAAGGTGACACTTCTCTGGTGTGATGCAAGGAGCATTACGTCCAAAAATGACCTCAGGCTCTCAGTCTGAGTTTCCTGAAAATGAGCTAGCTGGGACATTGGATTTCTTTGCCCTGCAGTGGAGATTTGTGCAGTCCTATAAAAATGCTGGGCAGATACTATTCCCAGATGGCTGCTGTAAATACTTGGCACTCTAGTCTCGACTGGCTGGGAAGGTTGTTCTCATGCTTGCCCTACAAGAAATGAGAGAGATGGCCAGGAGACATTTCTTCTCTGCTCTAACTTGGATTCATCTGGAGTTCCAGCAGATTGCTCAGGCTCCCATTTGCCCCTCTGTAAGATGGCGATGGGTCATTGAAGTATGTATGTGACCTTAGTTTTGTAAATTCTCCTTTACTTATTAAAGTCTGTCTCTTACCTGAGTTGCAAAATATTAAGGAATTCATTCTAAACATTAACACATGATAAAAGTGGAGCTTCACGTGGGTTCTAACATCATAGCGGTGTTCTGAAAGGTCCTGACTTGCACAACATATGGCTAACAAAAGACCCTGAATTTATGAGTTTGACAGTAATCTGGTGACAGTAATTTGGTTTTTACTATTGATTTATTTTCACTAATTTGGGTACAAATACAGTCAAACTTAGTTTCTAAAAAAAATTTAAAAATCCCATCTTAGAGTAGTAGCCTAGTATTACTCTCTTGAAGATAACAACCTTCCTCAATTTCCCAGACACATGATGGGATAATTCAGGGCACCAAAAGCAGGAAGTGAAGGAGTAATCAGACCTCTTTCCCAGGACCAGGTAAATCAAAGACAGAAAGACTGACCAATTTACTCTCATGCTTCATATTGTAACCATGCAGAGCCCCTGTTGAAGCTTGAACCTATAAAGCCCAATGGACACTTTTCCACGGTGTGGTGAGGCCCTTGCTGGTCCTACCATGTGCAGGATGAATTGCAACCCTTTTGGTTATCTCTGTGCTCAGTTGCATTTCTCAGAAATATAATTGCGCCAGTATGGCTTTGTCCTAAATGCCTCCAAGCCTCAGCCACCCAGTGTCAGAAATGGCTCTTCTTCAAAAACACCGTGACCAGAGGCAACAAAGCAGAAACTTGTGACCCAAATTCATGCATCAATCTGTTTGACCCAGAAAATATATTGAACTATTTGCCCACATTTAGTACCTATTGTTCTTTTACACAATTTCTGGCTATTTTTATTACAGAAAATGGGTTGTTAGTGAGATCACCGAAGTTAGTTCTAGTTGGAACTCACTGTGGTCGTTATTTTGAGATGAGATAGGAAACAGGACATGAAGGAGCTGGTGCAATCCCAGTTGGTGCAGAAGCTTCTCATCAAGGCCAGTACTGCATTGGCACAACAGCTAAAGAGTGGTGTTATGACTCAGTTTCCCTACATTACTTTTTTTGAGATGGAGTCTCCCTCTGTTGCCTGGGCCAAAGTGCAGTAGCATGATCTGAGCTCATTGCAATCGCTGCCAAGTGATTCTCACATCGCAGCCTCCCCAGTAGCTGGGCTTACAGGCGTGCACCAACACTCCTGGCTAAATTTTTGTATTTTTAGCAGAGACATTTTAGTATTTCTAGCTACATTGGCTAGGTTGATCCCAAACTCCTGACCTCAAGTGATCCACCAGCCTGATTCTGCCCTTTTGTCTCTTAGTACACATGCTACTCACCCAACTCCTGAGATCTAATTGGGAAGATGCTGATCACCAGTTTCAGGTGCTTCTATCTGTTGGGGGACCGCCTTCCCCTGAAGCCAGCTGTGACTAATTATTATTATTTTATTGTGAGCATTATTATTTTAGAGAGATAGTTTAATAACTGCCTGACCATCACCTGATGGTTGCCCGACATTTCTTGTGGTAGTGAGGTCCAGGGACCTCTCCTGCCCTGCTCATGTCTGACTAGCTACCTACTGTAACAAGAAAATCTTTGAGGCCAAGCCATATTGCTTGAAGGAGCAAAACTTTTTATGCCCACTGACAAGGGAAGGCAGAGTTACACCAACGGTTTTCCTGTTTCTGCCAATTTGAAGAGGATTCAGTTTCTTTATGATTTTAAAAGAGCACCTTGTGGATGTTTTAAAGTGACCAGAACATTTTAGAACCCTCTGACTCCTGCTTTCTTCTAATTTCCTAAGAGCACATTAGAAAGAGTCTGCTGATTATTTAAAAATATATAGAGGTCAGGGGAGGAGTGTTGGATATTAATCATCTCTAGAGCAGAAATTTAGACTTATTTCGCATAAGCCTCAAGCTGTTCATGTGAGGACAATCCCACATGTGTACGCTATCTGACTTTTGAGTAACTCTCTCAAAATGTGACTCCCACACGTACCTCCGCCTGCCCTATTCTCTGCTTCTCCTCTCCCGTCATGTGAGAGGAGGTACCTGTGACTAACGCCATCACTTGTGCTCTGACTTCCACATCACCTTGTCCTTCCCAGGAGCCTTTAGCTATCCAATACCTCTTATTTCTGCTTCTTTTCCAATATTCCTTTTACACAGGGTCTATTTAATGAATATGAATATGCTCAAATCTTTCCCATCTAAAACAACAAACCAAGCTTCCCTGGTATCTTCCTCCTCCCAGTGATTCTCCTCTCCTTTGTGCTTCCAGTTGCCATCCCCTCTCACATCAGTCTTCAGTTAGTTCTCATCTAGTTTCAAACCCCACCATTAGCTCCCATGTAGGATCTCCCAGTGACCTCTATGTTGAAATGTAAACCTCACCTTGACTTGATCAGCAACACTTGATGCTCTTAACTTTGCCCTGTTTTCTTAAATACGTTCTCTTCTTGGTTTCCATGACACTATATTGTTTTTTTCTCGTTTCTTTCCTATTTGTCTTTCTATTCCTTAAGCACTTCTCCTCTTCTGTAGGGTTCTTTTTATCTACCTGACCTCTAAATATCAGAGATCTCAAACTTGAGTTCTAGGGCCATTTCTCATCACTATTTTAACTATCTATCTCTTTGTATACTATTATCCACACACATAACTTAAGTGATCACTATACATCAATGAATACCAAATTTATGTGTCTGTGTCAGAGCTCCCCTTTGAGCTCTAGTAGTCACTCTAGCTGACATCCTGGCTAAGTGGTCATGGGCATCTGCATATTGCCTGTAACTTATTCTCCAATTTTCCTATCACCTCTTTCCAAAATTGCCCTAGATAATCTATTATGGAGAAAGAGGAAATGCTTTTGTGTTTCTGGAGGAGTGGGGCCTTCTAAATAAATTTAGTTGAGTTTCAGAGCTATGTATTGAACCGCATACTTGTCACTGTGTGGAGATTTCAAATATGTAGCCACCTAAGATTGGCTAACACTGAGCACATGTTCTTCCACTCAAGCACGATCCTTATACAGCATTTCTTAACTCAGTGAGTAGCATCACATGCCCCCAATTTTACAAGCCAAAACCCAGAAATCATCCATGACCTCCCTTTTCCTTAGCTATCATATGCAATACATTGTAATGTTTTGTTGATTTTATCTCTTAAATAACTTTCCTTTCTCTACTTCTCTCCGTTATCTGTTACTATCATTTCTTACTTGACTACTCTAATAACTTCCCATTTAGATTTCGTGTATACAATTCTTATTCCTCTTTAATCGGTCTATCATATGGTGCCCAGAATAATCTTTAAAAACACAAATCTGATTATTTCACTCTCTTGCTTAATTCTTTTAAAGGTTTCAACTAGTTCTTATGATAAAATCACAAATATTTAATGTGCTCACAATGCCCTTAGCTGATTTGGCCACATGTCTTACTACCCTCAATCTAAGTTCCTACCACTGACCTGCTCATACTGAACTCCCTTTATCTCTCAGCCTTCAGTCAGACTGACCTCTCTGGAGTACTCTTACCTCTCACTGACTCCTGCATCTATTTGAGTCCTATTCATCTTTTACATTTCAGCAAAAACACCACTACTTTAAGGAAGCCTTTTCTGATTCACTAGATTTAATCAGGACCCCCATTATATACTTTCTTTTCACAGCATTTAATTTAACTATAATTTAAAAAGTTTAAGTGTGACCCTATGTTAATGTGTATATAATCTACTAGACTGTAAACTCCGTAAGAACAGCTCCTTGTGGTGTAGAAATTTTATAAGGAACATCTTAGTGTCTGTGTTAGTAGTGGATCTTAGATATGATGGGTGGGTGGCAATCACTGGTAGATAAAAATCACTGATAAGCTCAGGCAGATAAAAAGGTATGTGTTGAATAGAAGAACTAAAAGGAATGGAAGGTACTGAAAGAGAAAAGATTAGAGAATGAGAATTCAACAGGCACGAACCCCTAAATCGGGGATGCCAACCAGATTTCAGCTCATATATTATCTTTGATCTGCTGCTCTTGCCTTCCAGAAGTGATATATTGAGAAGGATTCTGAGCCTGCATTAGAACTGTTGGAAAAGAAGTGCTGTCATTGATTAATGATGTTTTTCCTGGAGTGGGAGAGTGAAGTGGTGGCATGTGTGCTATAGGTTTGCCATGTCTATTAAAAGATATTGCCAAGTAATTGTGGTCCAAATTTCAATTTGCCAAGGAAACTGGGTAAAGCTAGACTACTTTAAGAAAATACATTGAAGAAAAACCAATTTACTAAAAACAAGAAAACAAAAGAGACAAAACCCGCAAATACAAACACAAAAACCAAAACTCAAATCAATTAGAGGAAAGCTTATTAGTATAACAACTGATTTCACCAAAAAGCTGTTACGTGTGGTAAAACCCATAGTTAGCTTCTCCAATATCGGTAGCATTAAAATAATAACTAATATTTTTGAGTACTTACGATATGTCAGAAAATGTGATATAGCTTTACATTTATTAACTCATTTAATCCTCACAATAAACCTGTGAGATAAGTACTGTCATTATCTTCATTTTTTAGGTAAAAAACTAAAATTTAGAGAGATAAAGTAATTTAAAAAGAAAATACAATTAAAGGGCTAGGGTTTTATCTGGATTTGTACTATTAAAAAAACACATGTTCTTGACATATGTTACTAGGACTTATGTTAACACACACCTTTTTAAGAAGATCTTAAGACATATAAAAGATAGATGTGTAGTGAAGTAAACACTGCTCGATAAAGAACAAATGTACCAATATTTGCTTGAAATACTGAAAGACATAATTTTGCCGCCCTATAAGAACAGATAAAAAAATAGCTTGTCACAAAACTATGTTAACATTTGTCTCAGGGAGTTATTTTTTATGTAATTGCAAAATGATTAATTGATGGTTTGTTTAATTATTCTTTGAAGCATCCAAGTAAAACTAATCAGTATGATATTTTAAGAGTCATCACTTTTCATTCTTTGACAAATGGGTACTAAGTATGATTTTTCCAATATTAAAATGGTCTTAGGCTTTTATATGAATTCTTGAAAATGATAACATAGCCATAATAAATTATGTAAATTATCGGTGTGCCCTTTGGTTTAGATTAAATCAAGATCCCTAAAAATAATCTACATAATGAAGCTTTCCTGGACCAGCCTGGGCAACCACACCTCTTTATAAAAATTAAAAAATAAAAATTAGCCAGGCATTGTGGTGCACGCCTGTAGTCCTAGATAATCAGGAGGCTGAGTCTAGAGGCAGATTACTTGCTCCCCAGAGTTTGAGGCTGCAGTAAACTTTGATTGTGCCACTACATTTCAGCCTGGGTGACAGAGTGAGACCTGGTCTCTAAACAAAACAAAAAACAACAAAAAAGCCCTCCTGAAGAAATAACTGTAGTTGATACAAATGTGTCATTGCCCCAAAAGGTAAAAAATCTTTGATTTCGTATCTTGCCTATTATGAATAATACTGCAATAAACCTGTGAGTGCAAATATCTCCTCAACATACTGATTTCATTTCCTTTGGATATATCTCCAGAAGTGGGATTGCTAGATCATATGGTAGCTCTCATTTTAATTTTCTGAGGAACCTCCATATTGTTTTCTACAATGACTATATTAACTTTCCCAACCAATGGTGTCCAAGGGTTCCCTTTTCTCCACACCCTCACCAACACTTGTTATCTTTTATCTTTTTGATAATAGCCATTCTGACAGATATGAGGTAATATTTCATAGTGGTTTTAACTTCATCTTTGTAAAAGGAAACACATTGATAATAAGAGCTTCATAGCCTCGGATAAGCTATTTATTTCTTAAAATAAAAACAGAGCAGCCTCCGAGACTATCAGCCTCATATCTTTCATAAGCATGAGATTTAATTTTAAAATAACAAGGGAAAAGCCTAGGCTTGGTATGATGATTATGTCTGACACTATTCAGCCATTAACTCTTGTGAGTGGCTCTCTCTCTCTCTCTCCTTCTCTCTTTTAGTCTGTCACTTTTACTTTGTTTTGTGTGTGTGTGTGTACAATGATTCTATTGCCCCAAGGTGCCTTGTTATCTTGCCTAACACAATCTACTACACCAAGGAATAAACAGAGGTTCCATTGTGTTATTCTGTCCTCAGGAGATAGCCTTGATTGCACTCCCAACTGATCATGAGAGCTCTGGCTTCTTATACCAGGAGTTGTCAAAGTTTTTTGATAAAAGGCCAGGTAGTCAGTATTTTGGACATTATGGGCCATATCGTCTACATCACAACTATTTAGCTCTCATGTTGTAGAATGAAAGCAGTCATAGATACTATGTAATGAATAAACACCATTGTGTTCTAATATATCTTTACAAAACAGAATAAAAGGCCAGATATGGTCTACAGGCCATAGTTTTTGTTTTTTTGTTTTTTCTTTTGTTTTGTTTTTAAGATGGAGTTTCGTCCTCGTTGCCCAGGCTGGAGTGCAATGCAAGATCTCTGCTCACAGCAACCTCCGCCTCCTGGGTTCAAGTGATTCTCCCACCTCAGCCTACCGAGTAGCTGGGATTACAGGCATGCATCACCACGCCAGGCTAATTTTGTATTTTTATTAGAGACAGGGTTTCTCCATGTTGGTCAGGCTGGTCTCGAATTCCCAACCTCAGGTGATCCACCTGCCTTGGCCTCCCAAAGTGCTGGGATTGCAGGCGTGTACCACCATGCCCGGCCTACAAGCCACAGTTGACCAGCTCCTGCTTTATACCCTTGTTGAGGGCAACAATCACCACTTCCTCCACTCAAAGTTAAGGTTATGCAAGTAGAAATCTTAATGAGCTACATTTTCCAGACAGACTAAAGCTTCACAGTGGCACTAAACAAGTGATCATTGGTCTTATGTTTGGAATCTGAAAAGGCTTTGAAATATTAAACAATGGGTAAAATTCTCTTCCCTCTCCTCCCCTCTCCTTTCTATTTCTTATCTCAACCAATATTTTAAAATCCCATACTTAGGATTTAAAAATATTATACAAATTATACTAATTATTTCATATGAATTTTCATTTAATTAATGTTTACTTTTTCATTATTCTTTTTGAATTGCATCTCAAATTCTTCTGCTGATAACATCTTCCGTCTTCAGGCAATATTTTTTAGACTCTTTAAGTGCGAGTATAATGGCAGTAATTTTTTTTTTAGGTTTTCGCTGTCTAAAGCAGTGGTTCTCAAAGTATAGATAGACTATAGAACCTTGGGGGTCCTGAGGTACTTTCAGAGGATTCATAAAAACTATTTTGATATATATACTATCCAGAGCAAAATCAGGGAAGAGGAGCATGGAGATGTCCCACCAGACAGTTACACAACAGGTCTGGAGGTATAAGAAGCCATGTAGATTTCACTGAATTACAAGAATATCCAGGACATAGAGTACAAGGTGGGATTGATAAAGGATGGGGCTGGAGAGGTAGACAGGGATCAGACCACAAATAACATTTTGGGCATCCACTGTAGTTCAGGTAACCTTCAGTCACACCAGGAAAACTCAAATAACCTCCTAGTTTGTTACTTTATCTCAAATGTTGCCCCTCTTTATTTACCATACCATTGGCAGAATGATCACCGTTTAATGTAGTTCATGTTTATACACTACTTAAACCCCGTCAATAGCTACTCATTGCTCTCAGAAGTATTTCTAACCACTTAATAGGACCTCAAATACCCATCATGATCTGACCCTAACTACATTTCCAGCCTCATCTTTTGTCAGCTCCTTCTTTATGCTGGCTGTTATTTTACGTAGCTCTTTTGGAATGTCTTCCAGAAGTGTTTTATAATACCATTGTTAGGTTTACTACTAGGTACTTGAGACACCTTGTAGCCTTTGCTGCTATTGAACATGATATCTTTCGTTGTAATTACATCTTCTAACTCCTTGATATTGGTGTATAGGAATGCAATTGATTTTCACATATTGATCTTATATCCAGTGACACTGCTGACTTGTTTTATTCATCCTGATATTTGTTTATGCATTCTTTTGGATTTTATATGTAGACAACTCATATAAACTGTAAATAATTTAGTCTTGCTTCTCTTCTATTTCTTTTCCATGTCTGCCCTCTTATAATTTTGAACTTTCTAACACCTCCAATATACTGCAATGAATGAGAGTTCCTGTTGCTTCTTATCTTTTCCAGCACTTAGTGTCAGTGTTCTCAGCTTTGACCATTTTAATAGGTGTGTAATGCTTGCTTAGGTCATTTATATTTATTCCTTCTACATTCCCTAGGTTTATTCTGCTAGACTTTTCCAAACTTAAATTGAAAGCTTAGCTCATTCACTTTTAGTCTTCTTTTTCTAAACATGATATTTTAAGTGTATAAAATTTCCTCCTTATATTTTTTTGGATACATCCTACATGTTTTGAGATGCTCTAGTTTCCTTATTATTTAATTCTGGATATTTTCTAATTTTTGATATAATATTTGTCTATGAATTATTTATGAGAGTGTTTAAATAGCCAAATATATATTGTTTTTAAAGATATATTTTGTGATTGATTTCTATTTAAATTACATTTTGGTCAGAGAAAATAATCTGTTAGATTAAAATATATTGACTTGATTAATGGCCTAATGCCTGGCCAATTTTAGTAAACATTCTTGGTTAACTTAAAAATGTATACAACTTAATTATTAATGTAGTGTTCACATTTCATTAGTTCAAATTTATCCATCTTATTGTTCAATATATGCCTTTACTGGGGATTGTGTTTTGGATTTATAGATTACTGAAAAAGATGTGTTAAATGGTGGAATTGTTTATTTTATTTGTTGTTCTGCTTATTTTCTGCTTGATAAATTTTAAAACTATGCCATTGAGTATAAATAAGTTTAGAATTATGATATATTTCTTTTGATTAAAAAGTTTATTGCCTGGGTGAGGTGGTTCACACCTGTAATCGCAGCAGTTTGGGAGGCCAAGGCTGGCAGATCACGAGGTCAAGAGATGGAGACCATCCTGGCCAACCTCGTGAAACCCCATCTCTACTAAAAATATAAAAATTAGCTGGGCATGGTGGCGCACACCTGTAGTCCCAGCTACTCGGGAGGCTGAGGCAGGACAATCACTTGAACCCAGGAGGCGGAGGTTGCAGGGAGCCGAGGTTGCGCCACTGCACTTCAGCCTGGCGACAGAGTGAGACTCCTTCTCAAAAAAAAAAAAAAAAAAAAGTCAATATGCAAATGTTCCTATTGCACAAGTAAGGTACTGTCCTATTCTAACTGACAGGCAGAAGAAAATTAAATCACCTCTGGGCAAAGATGGCAACAAACAGATAATCTACTACATCACATACATTGTTTTCAGTATTCAAATAAAAATACAAAAATGATCAAAAACAAAGCAGAAAGCAGATAATAGAAACAGGTCCACAGATGAACTAGATTTTGGAAGCATTATATGTGGACATTAAAACAATTGTTATTCATAGGGTCAAGAAAATCAATGTCAAAGTATAGAATTTCACAAGAGAACTGTTTCTCAGCTTTTAAATCTCTTATCTCACCCCACATACGATTTAGAAAATGTGTCAAGAGAAAAAGCAATTCAGACTATTGGACTTATTCTCTGTGGATCTTGGTCCCTCCAGCTCTTGCTCTCTCTCTCTTTCTCTTTTTTTTTTTTTTTTTTTCCAGATGGAGTCTCACTCTGTCACAGATTTTGCTCTCTTGATAGCTTTTAACTCTGATATTTCTTTCCACAGTGTTGTGAGAATGAGAATCAAGACTGCTGCTTTCTGCTACATCTCTAGGTTAATAACAATGTTATTAGCAAATGCTTCAAGGAGAAAAGGGGCAGAGAATGACATGGTCACCTCACTGAATTTTCATTCTCTCAGGAATCTAGGCTTCTCAAGCTCTGCTTGCATCTGCTGCTCTTTGATGTATTCAGGTGTTTGTTGATTCATTTTTGTACAACCAGCAATTATTCTCAATGGAAGGCTAGTATTTTACAAACTACCGTTATCACACACAAAGGTGGAAATCCTCAATCTTTCCTTTCAACGAAGTAAGTTAATTGATCTTTTGTTAGTTTTAATTACATATATATTTAGGAACATTGTTTTGACCTTTTTCAGTACTTTTTCCCTCTTTACACTTTTCTTTTAATTTTTCTTCTGTCTATGCATAAGATAATGTAGGATATATAGATTTTAAAAATATTTTACTGGTTCCACGGAAAATTTTAGCATTCATATTAGATTTACCATAGTTAAAAGTTAATATATTGTCTCTCTTCTGAAACAAATCAAGAATTTCAAATATCTTGTTTTTAATTGTCTTATCTCCTGAATTAAAAGCTTTTATTGCTTACTGTTTTAGTTCCCTCTTGCTTATTTAACCCCTCAATATATCCATTCTTGTTATTTCACACTAATTATTTCATATGAATTTTCATTTATTTCACGCCCACTTTTTCATTATTCTTTCTTGAATTGCATCTCAAATTCTCCTGCTGATAACATTGTCCTTATTTAGGCATTTTTTTTAAGACTCTTTAAGTGAGAGTATTGTGGTAACATTTTTTTTAGGTATTTGCTGTCTAAAACAGTGATTTTCAAAGGGTAGACTATAGAAACTTGGAGATCCTGAGATACTTTCAGAGGATTCAAAAAAATATTTGCATATATATGCTAAAATGCCATTTGCATTTTCCACCATATTGACATTTATGCTAGTTTTGAAAAGAAATGGTGGGTAAAACTTTGAGCTCTTTAGGAATGTTTTGATGGAAGAGTAAAAAATTATGAATTTTATTACATTTTGACATTTGAAATGTCTTTCTTATTATTCTATTTCAAGGAAAGGGAAATATACATAAAGCATACTGTATACTAAAAAGTATATTGATTTTCCTGAGGAGAAGCACTTGTCTAATAGTTTGAATTGTAATATTAATTAACTGCTTTTTCATAAAATATTTTCATTTTTTAAAGACAGCTTTCAGACAAACATATTTATTCAAATATAGGGTATTTGGTAGAAAATATCTTTTCAATAACATGTAAGCCTGTCATTTCAAGGAAACAAACAGTTCTATGCTGAAAAATGTTTAACAACTAGCTCTATGGGGGGAAAAAAAGCGTAATTTGTAGATTTGTAGCCAATTGTTGTGGTGTAAATACTCCTGGCCTGACTATTTCAAGCTATCAAACATTTAATGTCATTAAACACAGAGCAGGGAAAAAATAATAAGGTTGCATAAGTCATTGCAAATCAACCATAGCACACTTCTGAAAATACTGCAATTAGAAATCTTTTTTTTTATTCTTTGAAGTCGGGTCTTACTCTGTCATCCAGGCTGGAGTGCAGTGGTATGATCATGGCTAATTCAGCCTTGATCTCCTAGGCTTAACTGATCCTCCTGCTTCAGCCTCCCAAAGTGCTAGGATTACAGGCATGAGCCACTGCATGCAGCTAGAAAGCAAAAGTAAAAATTAGAATGTAAGAAAATCTGTATCCACGAGCATGAGCCTCTCAGCTTCCTAATACATAAAGACTTTTCTAAAAAGATTGCTAGATATATTAACAAGTGTAAGTTTTTATATTGTATAATAAAATATATCAACATTTAGAAGCTCTGTATAACTCAGTGATCCAGTATTTTCTAAATGACCAATGCGCGATGTTTCCAAATCTTCATAAATAAAAGTTTTATTCAAAATTTCAAAATAGACAAATCAACTTAATGTGAGAGTATATAAAGTTTATTGATTTCAGATTTCATATTGCACATAACCTATGAGAAACTACCATTTATCAGGTTCTAGCACAGTATCACATTATCTTAAAAAGGT
This sequence comes from Homo sapiens, assembly GCF_000001405.40. Lineage (NCBI taxonomy): Eukaryota > Metazoa > Chordata > Mammalia > Primates > Hominidae > Homo > Homo sapiens. The sequence continues at coordinate 93,703,850 of NC_000007.14, forward strand.
TATTAAAACACTCCTCCATTTTCCAATTTTTATGAGGCCAGATTTTCTTAATGTTCTTTAACCAAATCAACATACCACAATAAAGGAATTCATTATTTTCAAAATGGAAGATAAAGCTTCAGGTCTGGAATGACTAGAGGGACTCAAGAGAGTCTGATTAGTTTTTAAAGTCTCCTTACAGGCCACTGCACTCCAGCCTGGCGACGGAGCAAGGCTCCGTCTCAAAAAAAATATCTCCTTACAGGTGCAGTGTTAAGTCTGAGAGTGGATCCCTGGTGACAATGATGCTCTGGATGCAGGGAAAAGGCCTCCATAGTTTGAGAGATGGGAAAGCAAGGTGCTTCAGCGAGACCAACACCGATGCAGCCCATCACTCTGTTGCAAAGGGATGCATTGTAGTCATTCAGAGTGCTTTGAGGATTATCCTTTTAAGAAGATTAGCTTTCATTTAAGTCAATTTATTTCTTGACTGATAAATACTTCTCATTTCATTTATGTGTTTCCTGGATCTCTATGGCTTCATTAAAATGGCCTATATTTGATTTTAAGATCCCAGAGGGAAGAAAGTAGATCTGTTTAGTTTCTTTTGAAATGGCCAAGCATAGAGCACAGCCAAATTTCTATATAAAAGACACACTGATGGTGATTAATTTCCTCTTATCTAGAGCCTGGCTTATGGAACAAAGTAGATTGTCTATCTTCCTTATTAATCTAGTAAATGATTTAGCCTTGTTCCTAGTGTCCAGAAAGTTTTAGTAATGAAGAAGGCAAAGCAGATACAAATACATCTATCTGAAATTGCTGCCCATTGGTATTTGTTCCAAAAGTTTGATTATAAATCAGTTGTTCAGAAGTTGGAAGACATTTTCCTTTGGGATAAAATATTATATAGGATCTTGTGTCTCTTGGTGATTCCATCAAATCCAAATATACCTGAGGTATAGTATTGTATTAATATAACTATACTATAGTGTTTGTCTGGGAGACATATATTTATAGTTGTATTTCAAAGAAACAGTTTATTCTATTAGAGAAATATTAGACTCCTTTCCATTAACAAACCACGTTCTGAGTAGTTAAAGCAGAGACTCCTTGAGATCTAAGCCTCTGATAATGATCTGATACAGGGAAATTGAACTTGATAGGGGATGGGGACAAGATTACGGGACATGAGGGGAGGAGATGGCTACTATGGAATAAGCAGGAGGCTGGGGAAATTCCAGAAGTAGAGACAAAGGAGTTGTTTACTGGAGTTTCCTACTAGAGTGACATTGTAGAAAACACTGGCCACTCAATCTCCCCATTTATTTTTTTCTAAAGGTCTCAAGGATTAACCTGTTTTCCCATTTCATGGTCATTGTCTCTTATATTTCCCTCCTGTGTTGTCCACACACCTTTCATTCCTGATCTCTGGATCCTAAACACTGACACTCATTGTAAACATTGGTTTTTTAATATATCTGGGGCACAGCTCAGTAAATTGAGCAGAGGAAGAAAGTGGTATGTTGTTTAAGTTTTAATAAATCCTCGTATTTATTCATCAACAGTTAATTTAGAGATCAACACTTAGACACTCAGAAAATTATTCAAATTAGAACATTTGTCTTTTTTCTTTAGAGAACTTCTGTTTAAATGGGGAGATGTGAAATTAACAAAGAATGATCTGATACAGAGTAAAATAATTATGCATCTGAACCTATATTTACATATAAGTTCTATGTTTTAATTATTGTTCTATTAACTCTCTTGGTCTCTACTATTTCCATGACCACCAGAACAATGTAACCTGGGCATGGGGGAATAAGAGCAGCAAAGATTGAGGACTGAAAATTAATTATAAGAAAACAGTTGCATATAATTTCTATATATCTACTTGGATATTTTTTCCATTTGACTAGCTAGTTTTAGGAACAGCTGTCAATGTGGTTAAGAACCTGGTGGAGTTGCCAGTTCCACTAAGACTAAAAGTGTTAGGGAGGAATTGGCAAAATCCATAACACATCTAGAGTAAAAAACATTTTATTTTCTTCTAATGGACAGAATAAAGAGAGGCAGATGTGGAGTAAGGTAAGTAACGACGGTTCAGGAAAAGAAATGCTGAGAAGTTAAAGACTGACGTTAACTACTTCAGATATTGTTTATAGGATTTTTTATTTGTTTATTTATTTATTTTATTATACTTTAAGTTCTAGGGTACATGTGCACAACATGCAGGTTTGTTACATAAGTATACATATGCTATGTCGGTTTGCTGCCCCCATTAACTCGTCATTTACATTAGGTATTTCTCCTAATGCTATCCCTACACCCCGCCCCAACACCATGACACACCCCAGTGTGTGATGTTCCCTGCCCTGTGTCCAAGTGTTCTCATTGTTCAGTTCCCACCTATGAGTGAGAACATGCGGTGTTTGGTTTTCTGCCCTTGTGATAGTTTGCTCAGAATGATGGTTTCCAGCTTCATCCATGTCCCTACAAAGGACATGAACTCATTCTTTTTTATGGCTGCATAGTATTCCATGGCGTATATGTGCTACATTTTCTTAATCCAGTCTATCACTGATGGACATTTAGGTTGGTTCCAAGTCTTTGCTATTGTGAATAGTGCTGCAATAAACATACATGTGCACGTGTCTTTATAGTAGCATGATTTATAATCCTTTGGGTGTATACGCAGTAATGGGATTGCTGGGTCAAATGGTATTTCTGGTTCTAGATCCTTGAGTAATCGCCACACTGTCCTCCACAATGGTTGAACTAGTTTTCACTCCCACCAAGAGTGTAATCCAGCATCTGTTGTTTCCTGACTTTTTAATGATCACCATTCTAACTGGCGTGAGATGGTATCTCGCTGTGGTTTTGATTTGCATTTCTCTGATGACCAGTGATGATGAGCATTTTTTCATGTGTCTGTTGGCTGCATAAATGTCTTCTTTTGTAAAGTGTCTGTTCATATCCTTTGCCCACTTTTTGATGGGGTTGTTTTTTTCTTGTAAATTTGTTTAAGTTCTTTATAGATTCTGGATATTAGCCCTTTGTCAGATGGGTAGATTGCAAAAATTTTCCCCCCTTCTGTACGTTGCCTGTTCACTCTGCTGGTAGTTTCTTTTGCTGTGCAGAAGCTCTTTAGTTTAATTAGATGCCATGTTTCTATTTTGGCATTTGTTGCCGTTGCTTTTTGTGTTTTAGTCATGAAGTATTTGCCATCCCTATATCCTGAATGGTATTGCCTAGGTTTTCTTCTAGGGTTTTTATGGTTTTAGGTTTTACATTTAAGTCTTTAATCCATCTTGAGTTAAATGATTTATAAATGGTTTTATAGGATTGAATCAAGCTGATCCCACAACGCTACATCCATATTTCCCACCAAAACAAATAAACAAAAACAAACACAAAAACCTATATGTTATTTGTGAAAGTTTATTTTTCATTACTATGCAGTTCTTGCAAACAATAAAGTGGAGATAGAGAAAATGAGTCACACAATATGTGTCTTTTGCTCAGTTTATTCATAGAGCCTATATTTTTCACTATTAATAAAGACAGTAGCCTCCTGTGTTTTCATGCTCATTAATCAGTCAGTGGCTTCATGGATTCTTGCTGTCAGACAATTCTATTTGGAAAACTACCAAGATAGCAACTCCCTTACTTATAGAACAACCATAGATGTAGGAGCAATTATCTGTCAAAGAGCATATTTTCTCTTCCTTTTTACCTCCCATCCCTTTGACAGAGCATTTTAGCAACACTACTGAGTATATTGATGTCCTTATAATAGGAAGGCAACAATTCTATTCTTTACTTTGGTAAGATGAAATGTTAGGATAATGAAGAGAGCTAAAGATAGTGAATTTTTCATTCTCTTTTAAGTAAAAAGCACTACATATTAATCTGCCTTCAGTTTCCTAACTCAAATAGAAAGTTTGGGGGATATTTTAAATTTTAAAACATACATTTTTAAGTTATATACGATAAAATTCAATCTTTTTGTTGCGTAGTTATGTGAGATTTGACAAATATGCAGAGTCATGTAATGACTACCATAAGCAAGGTACAGAAAAATTTCATCAAATCTCCCCCACTTCAAAAAGTTGTCCATGGCTGCCACTTAATTGTCAGGCCAACTTCCTTAACGCTTGGTATCACTGAACTGTTTTCCATCCCTATGGTGTTGCCTTTTCTAGAATATCAAATAAAAGAAATTACACACATGTAGACTTTTGAGTCTGACTTCCTTTAGCCAGCATAATGTACTGAAATACCTGCATGTTGTGTTGGGCATAAGTAGTTCATACCTTTTTGGAATGCCTTTACACTGTTGTGGGAATGTAAATCGTTTGACCATTGTAGAAGACAGTGTGGCGATTCCTCAAAAACCTAGAAGCAGAAATATCATTTGACCCAGCAATCCCTTTACTGGGTATATACTCAAAGGAATATAAATCATTCTATTATAAAGATACATGCATATGTGTGTTCATTGCAGCACTATTCACAATAGCAAAGACATGGAATCAACCCAAATGCCTATCAATGACAGACTGGATAAAGAAAATACACACATACGCCATGGAATACTATGCAGCCATAAAAAGGAGTGAGATCATGTCCTTTATACGGACATGAATGGAGCTGAAGCCATTATCCTCAGCAAACTAACACAGGAACAGAAAACCAAACACCGCAGGTTCTCACTTATAAGTAGGAGCTGAACAACGAGAACACATGGACACAGGGAGAAGAACAGCACACTCTGGGGCCTGTGTTGGGGTGCGGGGGGAAGGGAGAGAATCAGGATAAATAGCTAATGCATGCAGGACTTAATATCTAGGTGGTAGGTTGATAGGTGCAGCAAACCATCATGACATACGTTTACCTATGCAAACAACCTGCACATCCTGCACATGTATACTGGAACCTAAAATAAAATTAAAAATAAAATCGACACAATTTGATTATTCATTCCACAGATGAGGAATGTTTGGATAGCTTCTAATTTTCGGTAAGTGAAGCTGTATAAACATTTGTCAAAATGTTGTTCTGTGAACATACATTTTTATTTCACTGAAATACCTCTGAGTGAATTTCTGGGTAGAAAGTAATTATATGTTAACTTTGTAAGAAACTGTCAAGACATTTTTCTTAGTGGCGATACCACTTTGCATTTACACTGGTCATATATGACAGTCCTAGTTGTTCTTCTGCATCATTGTCAACACTTGGTATTAACACATATATTTTTGTTGTTGTGTGTGTTTTCATCATTCTAATAGATGAGTAGTGGAATACTATTCTGCTTTTAATTTGTATTTCCTTAATGACTAATGATGTTGAGCATATTTTCATGTGTGTATTTCCCATCTGTATATTTTCTTTGGTGGAGTGTTTATTCAAATCTTTTGCTTATTTTTATTGGATTTTCTTATTGTTAAGTTTTGCGGCTTCTTCATTTGCAAACCTTTTCTCTGAGTTTGTTGTGGCTTGTCTTTTTATTTTCTTAACGTTTTCCATAAACCAAATATTTTTAACTTTCATAAAGCCATTTAATCCTATTTTTCTTTTATGCATTATGTGTTTAGTATTGTGTCTAAGCAGTCGTCGCTTAATCCAAGATCTCAAAGATTTTGTCCTATCGTTTTGCATTAGTTTTACATTTTACATTTAGGTGGTCCCTTTTGAGTCAACTTTTGTATAAAGTATACAGCGCATGTTAAGGTTTAATCTTTTTAATCTTTTGAATATGGATGAATAAATGACCCAGTACCATTTGTGGAAAGGATTCTTCTTTCTCTATTGAATTGGTTTTGCATCTTTCTCAAACATCAGTTGCACTTTTGTGTATAGGTCTATAACTTGACTCTCTAGTCTGTTCCATTGATTTATGTGCCCATTCTTTTGGTAATTCCACACTGTCTTCATTACTGTAGCTTCATAATGAAATTTAAATCCGATACTGTGAATTCTCTGAATTTGTCTTTCTTTTCTAATTATTGACTATTCTAGTTCCTTTAATTGTCCATATAAATTTTATATCTTTTCTTTTCTTTTTCTTCTTTTTCTTTTTTTTTTTTTTTTTGAGACAGAGTCTTCCTCTGTCGCTCAGGCTGGAGTGCAGTGGCATGATCTCAGCTCACTGCAAGCTCTGCCTCCGGGGTTCACGCCATTCTCCTGCCTCAGCCTCCCGAGTAGCTGGGACTACAGGTGCCCACCACCACGCCCGGCTAATTTTTTGTGTTTTTAGTAGAGACGGGGTTTCACCGTGTTAGCCAGGATGGTCTCCATCTCCTGACCTCGTGATCCGCCTGCCTCGGCCTCCCAAAGTGCTGGGATTACAGGCGTGAGCCACAACGCCTGGCCTATATCTTTTCTTTTTTACTTTTAATTAATCTATGTCATTTTATTTAAGATATCTTTTTGTAGGTAGCTTGTGGTTGAATTTTTAAAATTCATTTTGACAATCTGTATTGTAATTGGTGTGTTTAGACTACTTACATTAATGTAATTATTTTATTGTCAGGTTAAGTCAACCATTTTGTTACTTTTCCATTTTTGTTTGTAGGATTTTTATTTCTCTGTTCTCCCTTTCCCACTCTTCTTCTGGGTATTTGAATTTTTCGAAGCATTACATTTTACTTATTAATTGATTTTTGGCTAATACCACTTTGTATTGCTTTCTAATGGTTTCTCTAGGAATTAAAATATACATGCCTAAGTTTTAATAGTCTTCTTAGAGTTAATATTTTACCACTTCATCTAAAACATAGTGGTCTTACAACCTCATAGGCCTCTTAACTTCTCTTTTGTCCTATAATTTCCAAGTGTGTTATATCTATGTACATGAAACCCTCTCCCTAGATAATGTTATAATTTTTCATTATAACCATGAAATATATTTTTTTAAATGTAAGGAAAAATATATTACATTTTCCAATATGTTTACCATGTGTGTTGCTCCTCCATCATACCTGAAGTTCCGTGTTTTCCTCTGATATTATTTTCTTCACTTGAAAATTTTTATTTAGTATTTCTTTTAGGGAAGAACCATGGAGACAAATTCTCATAATTTTCTTCGTCTGAGAATATCTCTTTCTTTCTTCCAACACCTCCCCCATGGCTACTTTCCATACTTTTTTGGTCTTATTTTGATTGTGAACTGTCTATGTTTGGTTTTCTTGGAATTATCTTGTCTGGGGTTTGCCTAGCTTCTTGAGTCTGTAAATTTATATATTTTATAAAATAATTTCTATGGAAGAGTTTAAAAAAAAACTGTGCATAAATTTATTCCTCTTATCAGGTAAAGTAAGGGCTCACTTACTCACCCCTGAACTGGATATCATTAAGTGATCTCAGACCCCTTTTCATTAAGCTTCAGTGAGGCTTCAGAATTGTTTCCACTACAGTCAATAGCCAATCAAATACTGTGCAAAAGTGTACTAAAGATGTCTTTGAAGATGCTGTTCATTACAACTCAGGGACCTCTTCAGTCCTGCTATCGGAGAAATTGCTCTCTCACTTTAGATACTTTAAAAAATCTTAGGGAAACTGTTGAGCTCCTCTCTGTGATATGTTTGCCAATGCTTACGTACAGATTTGTGGGTCCTTCCACTAAGTATGCAGAATCAGTTGGAGTGCATTTTGTGTATTGACCTCACTTATAATTACAGTTTATGTTTTATTTTCTCCTCTTACCCTATTTTCTTCATCTACATATTGAAGATTTTATAATTTGTGAGTTGATAAAATCTACTAAAGTCCTATTGGAAAAATTAGAGATGTAAATAAATAAATTATGGCATCTTCTTTAGTAAAAACACTGAATAGCCTAAAGGTATTAATTCTTCCCAAGTAATTTATAGTTTTAATGAAATTATAATCAAAGACCTATTTTGGATGTAGACAACATAATTCCAAATCTATTTTGTAGAATAAAGTGATGAAAAGACCTAAGAAAATGTTAAAAATGAAGAATGATTAGTCAACTTCCTCGACAATAGATTTAAACATTTGTAGAATTAAAAGTTTTAAAAGAATATGAGCTTTACACAATTCTGGGCAGGGAAATTAATAAACAGACACATGTTGACTTATGGCAACAACTTAATGTGGAATGAATAAATTAGTTACCAAATGGTTTGAAGGAAATACTTAATCTCATGCCTTACAACAAAATAAATTCCAGATGCATTAAGGGATTAATTTTTAAAGAATAGCGTACAAATCTACAAGCTATGTGTTGAATTTATCTTTATGAGAGGAAATTTCTGACGTAGAAACCATGGGAAACATAAACAAAGCGGGGCTTATGTAATAATTCGTTGCACAAACTCTGAAGCTGGTCCTCTGGACTCAAATCCCAACTTTAGAATTTGCTAGTGGTGTTATCCTGAACAAGTTAGTTAACAGCTCTCTCCTTCCATTTCTAAGATTTTAAATATGGAAAAACACAGTGTCCACGTCACCTGGATTTTGAGGATTTAATGGGATAACCGATGTGAAGTGCTTAGAATAGTGCTAGGTACATAGTAATTGCTAGATAAGTGTTATTATTTTTATTAGACTTGAGATATTAGATAAAGACTTAAAGCAATGCTAACATTAGAAAATACTTAGAATTTAAAGTGTAAAGTGTTAGGTGAAAATTTTCTGGTTAAAAAGAACAAAAAAAGTAGCATAATTCTAATTGTGTATTGAAAGTTATTTATACATATTTTAAAAGAAATCTAGAAGAAAATATCCTGAAATATTTCCAGTGGATAGATCTAGAGAAAAATGCAAGCATACCTTTTTTCATTGTCCTTTGCTTTATTGTACTTTGCAGATATTGCATTTTTCACAAATTGAAGGTCTGTGGTAACACTGTGTCAAGCATGCCTATAGGTGCTGTTTTTTCAACAGCATGTGCTCACTTTGTGTCTGTGTCACATTTGTTAATTCTCACACATTTCAAACTTTATTATTATTATTATATCTGCTATGATGATCCAAGATTAATGATCTTTGATGTTACTCTTGTAATTGTTTTGGGACAGCACAAATTGTGTCCATAATGATGGCACACAATCTATAAATGTTGTGTGTGTTCTGACTGTTCCACTGAGCAGCCATTCCTCCATCTCTCTCCTTCTTCCCAGGCCTCCTTATTCCCTGAGAAACAATATTGAAATTAAGCCGATTAGTAACTCTACAATGGCCTCTAAGTGTTCAAGTGAAAGGAAGAATGACACATCTCTCACTTTAAATAAAAAAGCTAGAAATGATGGAGCTTAGTGAAAAAGGCATATCAAAAGCTGAGATAGGCTGAAGGACTTCTTGTATCAAACAGTTAGCCAAGTTGTGAATCCAAAGGAAAAGTTCTTGAAGGAAAATAAAAGTGCTACTCCAGTGAACACATGAATAATGAAATGAAACAGGCTTATTGCAGATATGGAGAAAGCTTAAGTGGTCTGGATAAATTAAACCAGCAACAACATTTTCTTAAGCCAAAGTCTAATCCAGAGCAAAGTCCTAAGTCTCCTCAATTCCCTGAAGGCTGAGAGTGGGGAAGCTGTAGAAGAGAATTTTGAAGCTAGCAGATATTGGTTTATCATGTTAAAGGGTAAATAAAAAGTATCCATACCATAAGAGTGCCAGCTAAAGCAGCAAGTGCTGATGTAGAAGCTGTAACAAGTTATCTGGAAAATCTTGCGAAGATCATGGATAAATGTGGCTACACTAAACAATAGATATTCAATGTATACGAAACAGCTTTATATAGTATTGGAAGAAGATGCCAACTAGGAGTTTCATAGTTAAAAAGGAGTAGTCAATGCCTGCCTTCAAAGTTCTAAAGAACAAGCTGATTACCTTGTTAGAGGCTAATGCAACTGGCAACTTTTCGTTGAAGCCCATGCTCATTGATCATTCTAAAAATCCTAGGCTCTTAAGAATTGCACTAAATCTACTCTGCCTGTGCTCTATAAATGGAACAACAAAGCCCGGATGGCAGCACATCTATTTATAGCCTGATTTACTGAATATTTTTATCCCACTGTTGACACTTACTGCTCAGAAAAAAAGATTCCTTTCAAAAGGAATCTTCTCAAAATATTATTGCTCATTTACAAATGTCCCCAGTCAACCAAGAACTCTGATAGCAGTGTACAAGGAGATTATTGTTGTTTTCATGCCTGCTAACACAACGTCTGTTTTACAGCCTATGAATCAAGAAGTATTTTTTACTTTCAATTCTTATTAATTAAGTAATACATTGTGTAAGGCTGTAGCTGCCATAGACAGTGATTCCACCAATGGACCTGGGCAAAGTAAATTGAAACTCTTCAAGAAAGTATCACCATTCTAATGCCATTAAGAACATTCATAATTCATGAGAAGAAGCTGAAATATCAAAGTTAACAGGAATTTAGGAGAAGATTTCAACCCTCTTATATAACTTTGAGAGGCTCAAGGGTTCAATGGAGGAATCACTGAAGATATGGTGGAAACAGCAAGAGAACTAGAATTAGAAGTGGAGTCTGAAGATGTATCTAAATTGCTACAATTTCATGATAAAACTTCAGTGAATGATGAATTGCTTCATATGGATGAGCAAAGAAAGTATTTTTTTGAGATGGGATCTACTTCTGGTGAAAGATACTGAACATTGTTGAAATGAAAACAAATGATTTAAAATATTATGCAAACTTAGTTGATAAAGCAGCAGCAGGGTTTGAGAAGTTTGACTCCAGTTTGAAAGAAGTTCTACTGTGGGTAAAATGCTATCAAACAATATCACATGCCATAAAGAAATCTTTCATGAAAGGATGCATCAGTTGATGTAGCAAACTTCATTGCTGTCTTATTTTAAGAAATTTCCATAGCCATCAGAACCTTCAGCAATCACCAGCCTGATCAGTCCGCAGCCATCAACATTGAGGCAAGACCCTCCACCAGCCAAAAGATTATGAGTCACAGAAGGCTTAGATGATCATCAGCATTTTTTTAGCAGCAAAGTATTTTTAAATTAAAGTATATATTTTTTAGACATAATGCTATTTCACACTTAATAGACTAAAGTATAGTGTAAATATAACCTTTTTATGCACTTTGGAAACCAAAAACCTCATGAGACTTGCTTTATTGCAATATTCACTTTGTTGCATTTGTCTGGAACCAACCCACTAATACCTCTGAGGTATGCCTGTATTGTGTCTAATTTATTTTCTTATTACTTATCAAATTTTCCACAACAAGCATGCTTCTCCTTGCGTAATCAGAAAAGAAGTTATTACATTTTTTAGAAATGAAATCATTTAAATAATGAAAGAAGAATCACCCAATTTTATTTCAGAAATAAAACAGGAAGGGAAATTAAAGAGTAAAGGGAAAAGAAAAAATATTTTCTTGGGGTAAGGGTTGTAAGAGAAAAGGAAAGGTTTGTGCATATGTGAAAAAAGATTACTCAAAGTAGTATCAACCCAATTGTAGGTGTTAAGAGTTCAAAGATAGGAAGCTTTCTAGGGCATCAAAAACCCTCTAAAGATTTCGGAACTGCGGGAGGTAACATCTATCAAGAGAATTCGCCAGGGTGGCCGCCAGGGGTCTCCTGTGGACCAGGAAGCCTTGACCTAGGATAAGTCCATGGTTTATGAAGAGAGAAGGAGCCTGTCTTCATGGAAAGAGGGGAATGAAAAAGAAAGTCTTGTCCATATTTACGCGGCATAATCTTACATCCTAGAATCAATGAATGCTAGACCAGAAAGGAACTTGATGGATTTTCCAGCTTGGACCTCATTTTAAGATTAGGAAATTTAAACCCAGAGAGGTAGTGAGGACTAACCTGAAGTTACACAGCTGGTGAGACACACAGTTGGATAATACTACAGATATCATGGATGACTTTTATACCATCTTACACTGTTAAAAACTCAGAGACAATCAGTACATAGAATTGCCGCACTGCAACCACAAAGTGATTCAGGTGTTGAAAGTACTGATCTTTGGTATTATTTTCACATCATAGTAATGGCATATAATGTTTGGAAACATATTATATGCCTATTATAACTACTTCATATTATAATGTAGAACTTAGCTCAATTTTAATGTTCAAGAACTGTCAAATAAATGTCCATTATTCATTGTTTGACAGTTATGAATACTTTCTTTTCCCTTTCCTGGCTTAGACATCTTCAAGAATTAATCATTACACTCAGCTTTGTTGGTAGTGAAAAGAAAACAAGTGAAAATCTCAAAATATACCACTTTAAATATGCCATCCCTGTTAAATGTCCACATTTACACACCTGCATTGTGTGCAACTCTTTGGATTCTGTCCTCTGCCTGCATCGGGCTTCCTATATCCTTATCGCTTTCAGCCTCTCCTTTCTCCCATCTCAAAGATTTATCCGTACCTCCCTACTGGTGTCCCCTGGATCCTCATTGCCCAGCTTCCTCCTCCCTTGTCAGATGTAGCCTCTTTACTGTCATTCATTTGTACATCCATCCAATCCACAAATATTTCTTGAACTCCAGCTATATGCAAGCTCTTGTGCAAGAAGCTGTGGGATTACACAAAGCTGTGGGGTATTGTCAGAGATGCTTCTTCCCCACCTCCAATTCAACTTTACACCTCACAGGGTAAGCTGTAACAATTACAGATTGCTTTGCGGCCAGGTGCAGTGGCTCAGGCCTGTTGTAATCATAGCATTTGGGAGATCAAGGTGGGAATATCCCTTGAGCTCAGAACTTGATGACCAACCTGGGCAACATAGACTGTCTTTACTAAAAATTAGCTAGGTGTGATGGCACACATCTGTAATCCCAGCTACCCAGGAAGGAGGCTGAGGTGGGAGGATCGCTTGAGCCTGGACATCCAAGCCTCAGTGAGCCATGATCACACCACTGTACTCCTGGACAACTGAGAAAGACTCTCTCTCTCTCTCTCTATCTATCTATCTATATATGCATATATATAATATTATATATATAATACTTTAGATAACTAAGTTACATACTATATATATAACTATGCAAAAGTTGGTCAGACTGGAGTAGTGATGAGAGTGATAATGGCCAACAGTGATTCAGAATCGTTTGACTCTATTGGACGAGGGGACTGGTTAATAGAACTAACTAACCAGAACTATTTTGTTCTGTTAACCCATCCCCTCATCTAATAGAGTATAAACCTCAATATAAGCTCAACTAGGCTGAGTAAGGCCAAACAAGCAGTCCCCTAGTGTCAGACCAGAGAGAAAAAGTGATGAGAATTTTAAAAATCTTTGCAATCAATGTCAGTGGTGGTTGAGAAGACCTTCTGAAGGGAGACTATGTGATGAAGGATTACGAAGTGAAAGAAATGGTCAGCATATTGTTTCCATTGAAAAGACAGAAAATCTTAAATCCAAGGTCATGTTCCTGGCCTTGCTACTGACCTGTAGGCAACAACTCACTGAGTTTCAGACAGCAAGTCTCTCTTCTAACAAACAGCTGACAACACCTCCTCTTAAGTATTACCCAACCTCTGGCCCCAAAGCACTCCTCAGTCCTCCAGTGCTACAATAAGTCATAATGATTACTCAAATGAAATAGAGATCTTTATGAATGAATAAGTTGCGGTGGTATGAGTTTTGAAACCACATCCCAAACCACATAGTAGAGAACAACAAAATCAGGTCAACCCAGGTGCACTAAAGAGAACTTGCAAAGCCCTTAAACCTAGGAAAAGGAGGGAAGGAGAGGAGGAGAACAGGGAATAAGGGAGGAAGGGAATGAGGAGAGAGAGGAATGAAAGAAGGAAGGAACAAAGAAAGGGAGGGAGGGAACCAAAAGAAAGAGAAAGAAAAAGAAGGAAGAAATGGGGAGAAATGGGGAGAGAGAGAAAGAAAGAGAAAGAAAAGGAGGAAGGAAGGATGGAAGGAAGGAAAAGAAGGGAAGGAGGGAGGGAGGAAGGGAGGGGGGAATAGAGAGAGAGGGAGAGAGAGGAAGGGAGTGAGGGAAAGATGGAGAGAGGGAGGAAGGGAGGGAGGAAAGTTGAAAGCTTGTAGTATTTGCTGATTTTCATGGTGTATTTCCATCATATCCAATTTGTTGAATATGGAGTTCAGAAATGCTACCTGCAATTGCCTCTTGAGAGCAGGTTTGAGCTGGTGCCCACACCACTGTCTATCACTTTAGCCCTGTGAGTAACTGTCACTCATCTGTAAAATGGTGATAGCAATTTTGGCGTTGCCATTTCAAAAGACAACTGAGGAATTATTTGCCAGGGAAAAATATTTTTGATAACTAAGTTACATACCTTATAACAAAATTATAGCTGAATTAAATATTAGAGACTGAAAAAAATTAAGATAAATTATTCATGAATGTTACATAGTTTTTCAGCAAAATAACTTCCTATGAGTGATAACAAGAAAGCTATAAAGGAAAAGATTGAGGTATTGTATGGAATGAAAAGAAATTCTACTTTATGGCAAAAATATTATAAGCAGAGTTAAGGTTCATAGATACTTCTGCAGAAATTAAGAAAATAACATTAATGATTTTATACTATAATATTCCTCATGATTTCTGCTTTCTTTTGTATGCATGGTTATTATGTAATTCATACAATACAGTTTGAGGTCAGCAGACATTATAATCATCAGATGTCAAACTGCACAATCTGAGTCTCAGAGCTGAGTTGCCCAGCTTCTAAGTGTTATTTTTAGGGAAAATAGGAAATAATTGCTATTTCTGGATTAATCACTATGTCTAGGCTTGCAGTGATAAAAACAGAGGATAAACTGAGCCAATTTCTTTTGTTACTCAATTTGAATATCACTGAGGAATCCTAATAACTTGGAAGAGGGTCCATGCTAAATAAGAATTACGCGGGTGATGAAATCTGTGTGCTGGCAAGGAGTCACTAATCATTACCAAGCATTTACTGTCATCACTTTGGTTCTTTCTTTAATTTTCTGATGTTGAATTATTGTCTTAAATAATCGAATTGAATCATCCAGTGAAGGTATGGAAAAGATTTATCATTATGACATAGTAGTGCTATGTTTCCAATGGGTGTGACATTTCAAT